>NC_000001.11:237396242-237547757 GCF_000001405.40 Homo sapiens | reverse complement strand
AATAAAACAGGTATAAGTTGTAATCGTTGGAAGAAATACAAAGTTGAAAATATTAACTTTTCAATGCACACATATAAGGGCAATAGTACTGCCCTGCTCCACACAGACACACAGCGCTTCATTCTATTTAACTACTGAGATTGGCACAAAGCCTATTTTATAACTGCTTTTCTTCCATTCTTCTGTCACTGTTGTATTCTCCATTATTGACTATACCTTGAGGTCAGGATCTGTTTCTGATTCATTTTTCTAACTGCCATTATCCTTAAAACAGTTCCCAGCAGATAACAGCCTTTTCATATACAGTTGTTGAAATAATTAATTTCATTTACCAAATTAATATAAACATAAATGCATCTTCAACTCAAGAACGTTCACTAGGTAATTATGCTAAGTTACAAAATTAATTATTAAAACATGAGAAAATGCTTTTAAAAATAAATGTGAGAAAAGGCCGGGCACAGTGGCTCACACCTGTAATCCCAGCACTTTGGGAGGCCAACGTGGGTGGATCACATGAGGCCAGGAGTTCGAGACCAGCCTGGCCAACATGGTGAAACCCAGTCTCTATTAAAAATACAATGATTAGCAAGGTGTGGTGGCGGGTGCCTGTAATCCCAGCTATTCGAGAGACTGAGGCAGGAGAATCGCTTAAACCCAAGAGGCAGAGATTGCAGTGAGGAGAGATCACGCCACTGCTCTCCAGCCTGGGTGACAGAGCAAGACTCCATCTCTAAATAAATAAATAAATAAATAAATAAATATATATATATATATATATGCTTTTGAAAATAAACTACAAATTCTCTTAAAAATAGACTACTAATCTGGGCTATGACTGGCATCATTACAAGGCAAGCTCCTTGAAAGCAGGGAGTTTGTCCATTTTATTCACAGTGACCCCCCAGCACCTAGAATAGTGACCAATACATGGTAGGCATTCAGTAAAAATTTGTTGAATGAATCAATATATTACAGCAATAAATAACTTTTTTAAGGTTGAATACAGATGGCTTTAGCTTAGTTACTTCTATTTTACTATAATACATCCCATATATTGTAAGTAATTTATGTATAGGCTGGGCTTGGTAGCTCACTTCTATAATCCCAGCACTTTGGGAGGCCGAGGCAGGTGGATCGCTTGAGGTCAGGAGTTCAAGACAAGCCTGGCTGATATGGCAAAACCCCATCTCTACTAAAAAATACAAAACAATTAGCTGGGCATGGTGGCACCCAACTGTAATCACAGCTACTTCGGAGGCTGAGGCATGAGAATCGCTTGAATCTGGGAGGCAGAGGTTGCAGTGAGCCGAGATTGTGCCACTGCACTCTGGCCTGGGTGACACGGCGAGACTCTGTCTCAAAAAAACAACAACAACAACAAAAAAGTAATTTATCTATAGACACAAAAAAGTAATTTTTCTGTAGACAAAAGCTTTACCAATGTTTTGTTTTGAGTAGATTATAACAATTAGGACAAATTACTGATCTATGTCATTCAATTTACATTCATAAGTTAAATTTATGGACATTAAATTTTGTTCCATTTTAAATAAAAACTCTGTTTGTATGGGCAATTAACTGTAGCTTTTGTTTTTTAATAAAGAAGCCATGTGGGAATTTTTTTTAACAACTTCTATAAATCATTGTATTCGACAGACTTCTGACATTTAAATAGGCAAATCTATAAACTGTAATCACAGCTGAAGATATAAGTTCTTATTTGAAAAGTATTTTCTTTTATTTTAGAATATATAGATATAGATATATTTATGTATTTAAATTAAAAAAAACCCAAAACATTAATATATATATTTTACATATTATATATTTATGGTTTTGGGTTTTATTTTTGTTCTTTTTTGAGGCAAGGTCTCACTTTGTTGCCCAGGCCGCTCTTCAACCCCTGGCCTCAAGCAGTCCTCCTGCCTCAGCCTCCCAAATTGCTGGGATTACAGGCATGAGCCACCACTCCTGGCCTGGAAAGTATTTTTTTTTTTTTTTATTTTTCAAGAAAAAGCTCCCACTGCATTTCAAATGCACCAACAGGTAATCAAGCTAGCATAGTCTAATTTCCAAGTTTAACAGTTTGCTGGAGGCAGCCTCAGGGTACATGATGAAGAGCCCAGTCTTCTGTACTTCCTTGCTTCCTCACAACTACTTCTCACTCCCCACAACTGGCCCATGGTCACCCAGCACAAGCCAGCACACAATCTTCTTTCACTTTTCAGCAGCCTTGATCCCATCTAGCAGCCACAGAGGCCACACAGATGATGAAGTTTCGATATCCACCTGTGAATCACTGATCGGAGCCATTGCTACCCTAATGAGGGATACATGCATTCCCAAAGAGGAGTGATACTTTCTGGAAACCAATTTTTAATGGTAGACTTTCTAGCAATATCTCATGGAATGAGGAAGTACTTTTGAAAGGTGGAAGGTGGGAAGGAGGTCTTTCCCAATAAAAACTTATAGACAAGTTATGCTAATGTGCGAAGCTGGATAATATTGACAAAATCATTCCTCTTTATTTTCTACATTGTTTTCTTCCCATACAGATTTCTTCTAGAATTGCTTTAATCTGTGATCTCAATGAAAACTTATGGAGATGCATTTGCATCTGTTTAAGTAGCCCAATAATTTGTTCACATTCATCTTCAGATGTAAACTACACTTTTTTAACCTTCTTTCCTCTATAACCTTGTACGAGAAAGGATTTGAAGCTTAGAATTGTTTTTTTAAATGGCTAATAATCCCATCCAAATTATAGTTACAAACTCTCACTTCACCTGAACCTTTTTATTTCCACCTATTTTGAACAACAAATCATTTGTACAGTAAAAATAAACATGAACATCTATGAAATTCATGGACTTTAACTAATTATAATGGATAACACTATTGACATCATGAATGTTTCACCAGTATGAATTAATGGTAACAGCAATAATTTATGAAACGAATTTTCTGTTTGTAGTACATTCTGACAAAGGAGCTAAGAATCAAATTGTTATATCAAAATGAGATATATTTAAAAGTAAATAAGTACAGTTTGACAATGTTCATTTCACCTTATTAATACAATTTAATTAGGTACACAGAGGACAACCAACTGCTAATATGAATGATTATCTTCTTGTGGTTAAAAATGAACAAAGCCTTTGAATCAAATGTAATTGACATGAACCAGAAACTGAACACTTTCAAGTAAAATTTCAGATTGATTTCCAAAAAGTTAAAGTAAATAAAAGAAAAAATACTAAAATAACTCTTGGAAAGTAAAATTTTATAGCCACCAAAATGGGAAAAACTCCTATTATTATTATATTCATACAAAAAACATATAGCTCATATTAAGATGTCTCTGTATTACATTCTACTTTCTCAAACATCATGAGAAACTTCTGCCAGAATCAGCCGACAGACTTTTCTCTCCTCCAATTTATTTACTGAACAGGTATAAGTAGCTTTTACCCCCTTTCTTTAACATGCACATTCTCTGTGCCATCAATCATCCTATAAAATTAGCTTATGAGGAATATATATGAAATTAAACAAATGATTTAATATGCTCACTTTACAAAGTATCAAAATACTTTTATAGTTATTAGCTCTTAGTTTTATTTTGGCAACTACATAATTTAATAAAATAAAATAAAAAAGAATAAAACAACAACATTGAGAGTAATCAAATACCTAACAGTTTAGGCTTTGCTTTCCCGATAGCAAAATTTTTTTTAAATACCTCTGAAAACAAAACAAAACAACAAAGATCCTGGCCAACTGTCGATTCTATTTGCATCAAGTCACCAAAGATATAAACAAAAAATTGACAGTGTTTGGCTCCACTGGGGAATTTTCATGTTAAGTTGCAGCTCAGTTTTGTGCTTCATTCCCATCTGACCCACATTTTTCCTAAGCAGGTATTCCAGATGAGTCTTTGAAACAAGGGCTCAGTGTAATGTAATTAAAGGGCCAATTAAAGTGATTTAACAAAAACAAGGCAGAATACCAAAAACAGTAAGCACCAACCTTTTGTTTTTTTTAAGCCACCCCCACCTCCCAAGCTTACTTGTTTAATATGGATCAAGTTAAATGAAGCTTGGAAATCATTATATTGTGAAAGATGTACAGTAAATATGTAAAGGCTACAGCCAAGTTCAGGGAGTGTTAGCTGTAAATTTCAAAGCCAAATCAGCCCTTCAAGTACCTTGGAACAAATGAGAAATCTCAGATGACTGCACACCAGAGACATTAAGAGCAAGTTTTGCTGAAAGCACATCTACTAGAAACGAATACTAGGCTGACATTTTCACAGAAAACATATAGAGAATATTCAGAATCATTCTCCAGAAAACAAATACAGAAGGATTAATTTCCAGAAGGGAGAAAACAAGGGTTATATTTCTTCTACTTTTTTACTTTTGTTTGTTTTTAAATAAAAACATGTAATATGAAGATGTGCCCTACTCCCCTGACCCCAAACTCCTTTTTACTTGAAGGGCTTCCTACACCCCTCAGCCCCTTTGAAACAAGACCATGAAGTATCCACTGCTCTCAAGAAGGAGGCATTTCAAGAGAGAGAGAGGGAAAAAAAAGCTATACTTGGCTTTTGGATTTTAAAATGTCTTTGAATATTCAATGCAGAGACAAAGATCTTTATAGCAGGGCCTTGTGATATTAAAATCTCTGCTTTTGAATACCAAAGGAACAAAGCCCTTATGCCTTAGGACAGAAAAGAACAGATAAAGAACCCAGGGCCTCCAGTCTAAGATAGGCTGAAAATTCCAGAGCCTACAGGAGGGGAGAGTCAGAGGAGGCAAGTTCTCCCCAGCCTTCTGCCCAAGTGAGGACCAGATAGATCGCAGAGCCAAAGTGAGCTTCTATCTTGCTTCCTATATTGTACTCAGCCAAATGGCAGGGTCTCATAATTTCACAGATCCAAACCCATGAACAGTACAGATATGGTGACAAACTAATTCCAGGCTGATGGGGCTGTGGCAACCCTTCCTTCTCCCTCCACCAATAGGCTGCAATCTCCAAGCGGCCAGAGAGAGCATTCTTAGCTTTCCAGCACTCCTAAAGAGGCCCGGATGAGGCACGAGAAGGAACAGTGACTCACAGAGGGGAGGAGGGCACCCAATGTGAACCCAATATCAAATCAGTGCAGAACACAAACATCCTGTAAAATGCCAGCAGAGATGAATGAAGACAATTCAGTCGAAGACAGCAAAGTCAGATGAGAATGGCCAACGACTGAACAAGACCTCCCTATCAGGTGAGTACCCAGAACATAAGCAGCCCTGGTAATAAGAGGGGCATAAATCTTGTATTCAATTTCACCGTCAAATATTCATTCAGCAGTAGAATGCTTTCAGGTGCTATTCTAGGAACTAATAATACATGGGAGGCTGAGGCGGGCGGATCACCTAAGGTCGGGAGTTTGAGACCAGCCTGACCAACATGGAGAAACCCCATCTCTACTAAAAATACAAAATTAGCTGGGTGTGGTGATGCATGCCTCCAATCCCAGCTGCTTGGGAGGCTGAGGCAGGAGAATCGCTTGAACCCGGGAGGCGGAGCTTGCGGTGAGCCGAGATGGCGCCATCGCACTCCAGCCTGGGCAACAAGAGTGAAACTCTGTCTCAAAATAAATAAATAAATAAATAAATAAATAAATAAATAAATAAATAAATAAAGACAAAAATGTATACCTTTATAGAAATTATGTTTGTGAGGCCTCTGAGCCTAAGCCAAGCCATCGCATCCCCTGTGACATGCACCTATATGCCCAGGTGGCCTGAAGTAACTGAAGAATCACAAAAGAAGTGAAAATGCCCTGCCCCGCCTTAACTGATGACATTCCACCACAAAAGAAGTGAAAATGGCCGGTCCTTGTCTTAAGTGATGACATTATCTTGTGAAAGTCCTTTTCCTGGCTCATCCTGGCTCAAAAAGCTCCCCCACTGAACACCTTGTGACCCCCACTCCTGCCCACCAGAGAACAAATCCCCTTTGACTGTAATTTTCCTTTATCTACCCAAATCCTATAAAATGGCACCACCCTTATCTCCCTTCGCTGACTCTCTTTTCGGACTCAGCCCACCTGCACCCAGGTGATTAAAAGCTTTAATGCTCACACAAAGCCTGTTTGGTGGTCTCTTCACACGGACGCGCATGAAAATGTTCCAATGAGGAATCAAGTACGAAACCAAATAAAGTATAATATGATAGTATGTTAGAAGATTTAAATGCTATGAAGAAAAATAAAGTAGGAAAGGGGGATAGGAGGAAGCACGTTTTTAAATAGAGCACAATTTTAAAGACGTTGAGGGAGACCACTTGAGAAGATGACATTGGAATCAAGACTTAAAGGTGAGACTAGACACAGAAAATATTGATATAATTATGTTTGCCCTAAGCAAACTAGAATTAGTGCCCTAAACAAACTAGAATTAATTTATCACTGTCAGGCTGCATTCTGGCTACAAGGCTCATTGGATTTAAATCCTAAATTAGGCCCAATCAGAGAAAATGAAGAACACGGCACATTGGTGCATTTTTAAATTTCTGGTCTGTGAAATTTACCCACTACACACAAAAAGAGTATCTAAGGGTTTTTCTTTTCTTCATAATTACAGTGCCTCATCTTTACAGAAAAATCCAACTGTATTTCTAAACCATTTTTCACTGAGGTAAATATTTACCAAAGTGAATTTTGTACATGTGCTTGTGTCTATGTAAACAGTATACATACGGGTACACATTCAGTATCTAATACATTCATTTCAGAAAGTCATTTTAAATGTGTGTGTGTGTGTGCATACATATATATATATATATATACACACACACATGCATCAACCATATCATTCTCAGCCTTTTATCTGCCCTACTATGCCTCAGAGATATCACCTTGTTTCCTGTCACATGTAGTAGCTTCACAGCATTAGGGCTAAGGCTGTGTTGGGAAGAGCAGAAAACCTAGCAGTAGTTTTAGAAACCTCTCAGATGATCCTAGTATGCTTTTTTTTTTTTTTTTAATATTTTGAAACGGAGTTTCACTTTTGTTGTCCAGGCTGGATTACAATGATGCGATCTCAGCTCACTGCAACTTCTGCCTCCCAGGCTCAAGTGATTCTCCCGCCTCAGCCTCCCAAGTAGCTGGGATTACAGGCACCTGCCACCATGCGTGGCTAATTTTTGTATTTTTAGTAGAGACAGAGTTTCACCATGTTGGCCAGGCTGGTCTCGAACCCCTGACCTCAGGTGATCTGACCGCCTCGGCCTCCCAACTGTTGGGATTACAGGCATGAGCCACCGTGCTCAGCCCTAATAGGCTTTTAAACACTCAAGCAGCCTTTGAGTTACTGTGTTTTGTGTTGATTTCATAATAGATAAGTGCTAAATGAAAGTTTAAATGAATGCCATTAATATTCAGACAGGATTTTATTTTCATTTAAATCTACAGCTTTTCGAACAATCTCAAACACTCAATTAGGCATATGAGATAGTGAGGACCACAAGCTCTTGGAGTGAGTGGATTGTTTTTCAGTTGCGTATTTCTTTATTGCTATAATAATTTAACTCTAGGCTCATCAAACTATGCAGTGTGTCAAGAGTTTAGCTGCAATAAATGAGGGAAGATGCGTGAAATTAAGAATAGATGATAATGTGTTGTGCTCTTCACTGTTTGCTTGTTTGTTTTGAGAGGAAGGAGAAAAAGAGGCACAGGAGGAAAGAAAAAAACTACAACGAATCATCCATTCTTCAAAATTTCTTAAGAATTTTCCATTAAATTATGTCTATTATATATCAGAAATTGGCTATTTAAAAAAAATTATTTCTAAGTTCTGGGGTACATGTGCAAGATGTACACAAAAATTGGCTATTTTAAAAAAACATTTTATTTTTATTAAGTTCTGGGGTAAATGTGCAGGATGTGCAGGTTACATAGGTAAACGTGTGCCATGGTGGTTTGCTGCACCTATCAACCCATCAACTACGTGTGAAGCCCAGCATGCATTAACTCTTTTTCCTAATGCTCTCCCTCCCCATGCCCCACTCCCTACAGGCTCCAGTGTGTATTGTCCCTCTCCCTGTGTCCATGTGTTCTCATTGTTGAGCTCCCACTTATAAGTGAGAACATGCAGTGTTTGGTTTTCTGTTCCTGCATTAGTTTATTGAGGATAATGATTTCCGGCTCCACTGGCTGCACAGTACAAAAATTAGCTATTTTTAATAGGGAATATAGCATTTAATTCCAATTGATATATTGAACTTGACCGATTATCAAAATGTCTCTAAAATATATGCAAAAGAGACAGCAGTAGAAATATTGTGGGCTATGAAAAGGTTATTCTGCTATGATACTGCTCTTTCATAGACCATAGCCCAAGGGTTGCGTGTAGGAATCGACCATATTTCTAATAGTTACACAAAAGCAACTTAAAATGCATATGTGTGTCATATAAAACCCTGGCACTCAGGAAATACATGCTTTCAGCAAGGGGAAGTGAGAGTCAAACTCAGAAATGACAGAGGTAAACCTGGTAGAAAACAATACTGGTTCTTATCAAGATTTTAACCCAAAATTAATCTTCTTGTGAACATTATATTTTGCTTAAATAATACATTTTAAGGAAAGCTAAGACAATTTCTAATCTATGACTTTTATCAGTGTATCTAGGTTGTATCTAGGTTATATGGCCTGTGCATCCATACAGAATGTTCAGAAGAATGGACCTTTAAAGTCATCCGCTAGGTTATGCCTATGTCTTGTTCTCCCTAATCCAGTCAGTACTAAGTCCCTTGAAATGTAGAATTCAAGACACCAGGACAAGGATGGAAATAAGAAACCTTGCTCTCAATCACCACCTCTCTCCTTTAAAACTCGTCCCCCTGGTTTCTTCCCACTATTTACATAAACATGCTCATGTGTCTCCTATGCTTTATCAAATTTTTATTTTTTTTTAATTTTTTTTATTGTGACGGAGTCTCACTCTGTCACCCAGGCTGGAGTGCAGTGGTATGATCTTGGCTCACAGCAACCTCCGCCTCTCAGGTTCAAGCAATTTTCCTGGCTCAGCCTACCAAGTAGCCGGGATTACAGGTTGTGCCACCACGCCCAGCTAATTTTTGTATTTTTAGTAGAGACAGGGTTTCACCATGTTGGCCGGGCTGGTCTGGAACTCCTGACCTCAAGTGATCCGCCTGCGTTGGCCTCCCAAAGTGCTGGGATTACAGCTGTGAGCCACCAGGCCTGGCCAAAAAAAAACTTCTTTAAACACCATTTCCTTCTGAAACGAATACCATCAATACCATCTTCCCTTTTTTTTTTTTTTTTTTTTTTTTTTTTTTTTTGAGACAGAGTCTTGCTCTGTCACCCAGGCTGGAGTGCAGTGGCACGATCTCGGCTCACTGAAAGTTCCGCCTCCTGGGTTCAAGCAATTCTCCTGCCTCAGCCTCCCGAGTGGCTGGGATTACAGGTGTTCACCACCATGCCTGGCTAATTTTTTTTTTTTATTTTTAGTAGAGACGGGGTTTCACCATGTTGCCCAGGCTGGTCTCGAACTCCTGACCTCTGATGATCTGCCCACCTCGACTTCCCAAAGTGCTGGGATTACAGGCGTAAGCCACTGCTCCTGGCCTGAACTTCCTAAAGACTAGTTATATTCCTCCTATCTCCTCTTTTCCACCAACATTTTTTTTAAGTAGATTAAAACCTGGTTTCTGTTATCAATCACCTCTTTGTTATTACTATGAAAAATTCCAGGCCTATGCAAAAGTATCAAAAATAGTGAATACACTTGAAGCTCTCCTTCTGTTACACCTCAATTCCAATCCCCTCCTTATCCCCAGAGAGAATTATTACTCTGAATTTGAAGTTGACTATTCCTAGACATGATTTTTATAGTGTTCTTCCATATATCTGGCTCTATGAATTATCTGTAGAATTATATTTTATGTTCTTAAACTTTAAACAGTATTACACTGTATCATCTTTTTGGTAACATGCTTTTTTTGTTTTTTGGCTCTAAGGAGTATTTTTGAGATTTGTCCTTTGAATCTATCTAGCTATAGTTAATTCATTTTAACTGCTCTATAGTATGCCATTAGATGAATCTATAAAAACTATATTTAGGCCGGGCACGGTGGCTCACACCTGTAATCCCAGCAATTTGGGAGGCCAAGGCAGGCGGATCACCTGAGGTCAGGAGCTCAAGACCAGCCTGACCAACATGGTGAAATCCCGTCTCTACTAAAAAATACAAAAATTAGCTGGGCGTGGTGGCGGGCGCCTGTACTAGGGAGGCTGAGGCAGGAGAATTGCTTGAACCCGGGAGGCGGAGGTTGCAGCGAGCCAAGATTGTGCTACTGCACTCCAGCCTGGGTGACAGAGCAAGACTCCATCTAAAAACAAAACAAAACAAACAAAAAAACAACTGTATAGGGATTGATGGGAATTTGGTGGAAATTTAAATTGTTTCCAATTCAGTGCTATTGCAATCTATGCTGCAATGAATATTCTTTTCAGGTTTGTTTTGCATGAGTACAAAAGTATCTCTAAAGTTTATTTCTGGAAAAGAAATGGGTCTTATAAGATTAGGCTAAATTGATCTCCATAGTGGTTGTACTAATTTACATAGTCTTCCATTTTTTCTCACTTGGTGGGGGTGAAATAGCTTTTCATTGTGATTTTAATTTACATTTCCTTGATTAGTACTGAAGTTGAGTGTCTTTCATATGCTTATTGGATCTGCAGGGGTTTTTTATGAATTATGTTCATATCCTTTGCTCATTTTTCTATTTGGGCATCTTTTTATTAATTTTTAGGAGTTCTTGATATTGTTCTGCAAGTCTTTTTTTTTTGAGATGGAGTCTCGCTCTGTCGCCCAGGCTGGAGTGCAGTGGCGCGATCTCGGCTCACTGCAAGCTCCGCCTCCCGGGTTCACGCCATTCTCCTGCCTCAGCCTCCCTAGTAGCTGGGACTACAGGCGCCTGCCACCATGCCCGGCTAATTTTTTTTTTTTTTTTTTTTTTGAGACGGAATCTCGCTCTGTCGTCCGGGCTGGAGTGCAGTGGCACTATCGCGGCTCACTGCAACCTCCGCCTCCCGGATTCACGCCATTCTCCTGCCTCAGTCTCCCCAGTAGCAGGGACTACAGGCGCCCGCCACCACGCCCGGCTAATTTTTTTGTATTTTTATTAGAGACGGGGTTTCACCATGTTAGCCAGGATGGTCTCGATCTCCTGACCTCGTGATCCGCCCGCCTCGGCCTCCCAAAGTGCTGGGGTTACAGGCGTGAGCCACCACGCCCGGCCACCCGGCTAATTTTTTGTATTTTTTAGTAGAGACGGGGTTACACCGTGTTAGCCAGGATGGTCTCAATCTCCTGACCTTGTGATCCGCCTGCCTCGGCCTCCCAAAGTGCTGGGATTAACAGATGCTTTTGATGCACAGATTTTTTTCCTTTAGCAAGTGCATATTTCAGATTAGAGGACATGAAACATAAATAACATCAAGTGCAGAAGCACACTTAAAAAGAAATAAAGCAAGGTTAAGGAAATGGTCAAGCGTCCTATTATTGTTAGAAATAATTCTGTAAATTCTCCTGAGTTTTCTATGCAATATTACCTGCTATTGATGACAATTTGGTGTTTTTCCTTTCCAAGCCTCATGATTTTTTTCTTGTCTCACTGCACTGGCCTTATTGAATACATCAAGTAGTAGTGACTTATATTGTCTCATTCCTAAACCTTAAAGGAAAAATTTGAGATTTTACCTTATAGATTATTGGTTTCTGTTGCCCCTTGTTAGGTTAAAGAAATCTCTCAGAGTATTGCCTTCTAAGAGTTTATATGCTTATAAATAAAAAAATCTTATGAATTATTTATTTCTAAATACATTGGGATGATCATATGAATTTTCGTCTTTATTAAGCATCAATTTAATGGATACATTTTCTAATGTTAACCTATCTTTTCACTACTAGGATAAACTCAGCTTGGTCATATTATACTTTGTTAATACACTACTGAGTTGTTTGCCAGTATGTTCCTTAGCATTTTTGCATCTATGCTCATAATAGCAATGGACTATAACTTCCCTTTTCCATACTGTCTTGATCTGGGCTTTGATATGAAAATCATATCATCAGAAAATAAACTGTGAAGTGTTTCTTCCTCTTTATGTGAGATTGTATTTGGTAGAAATCAATAGAAAAGTTGTTTGGGACGTGTGTGTGTGTGTGTGTGTGTGTGTGTGTGTGTATGTGTGTTTGATTCAATTCCTTTAATAGTTATAGCTCTATTCGTATTTTCTTTCTTATTGGATCAGTTTTGATATTATTCTATACAATTGTCCATACTTTTACCTTTAGAAAGTTTTAATGTACATTTGTTACATTTTTCAAAATATTCCTAAGTTTGCTAACAAAATTGTTTTTTCTTTTTCCTTTGTCAATCTTTTCAGAGTCTTTTTCCCCTGCTTAGTAGGTTTTTAAAACAGGCTCTTGGCATCATTGGTGTTTATATTTCATCCCGCCCCCACCAAATTCATTAATATTGCTCTTATTATAATTTATTTTCTTTTACTTTCTCCAAGTAATACTTAATATATGCAATTCATGTTTTAATATGAAATATTTTCCTTTTCCATTATTGTTTTACAATTTCCATGATGTATAAATCCAAGAGATCTATTGTACAGCATGGTTAATATAGTTAATAATGAGGTATTATATATTGAACTTGCCAAGAGATTTGATTTTAAGTGTTCTCACAAAATAAAAAGGGATTATGTGAGGTAATAAATACATTAATTGGCTTGGTTTAGCCATTCCACAGCATATACATATTTCAAAGTATCATGTGGTATACCATAAATATAGGCAATTCATATTCATCAACCTAAAAAATAAAATAAATGAAACCAAAATATTAAAAAGCTTTTTAAAAATCTGGTTTTGAATCATCCATTTATAAGAGTATAAAGGCATGAAAAAAGGATAGGTTCATTTAGCAAGATCAAGAAATATGGGTTATCTTTTTAACTAGAAATAAACAAAGGCAGAGTGGTAAATAAGTAAATAATTTTCCAGATGATATGCTTGATCCATAACCTATTTAGAAGTATATTTTTAAATGTCTAAGTGTGTCATGATTTGTTATTTTTGCTGTTATTCTTTGTGATCCAGTGGATATGATCTTTACGATATCAGTGTCTAATGTCCTAAAGGATACTAAATTTTATAAATGTTTCATGCATGCAGCACTCTATATATGTCAAGCTTTTAATTGGTGTGTGTTTATATTTTTATTAATCTTTGTTAACATTTATCTGTTACACATATCAGTTTCTGAGATTTGTGTTAGGTCTATCACTGTGATTGCATATTTGTCTATTTCTTTTTGAAAATCTACTAGTATTTTTCTTCATTGATTTTTGAAGCTGTTTTACTTGGTGTATACATGAGTAGTTATAGCATGATGCTTGTTTTCTCAATTCTCCATATAGTGGCCTTCTTTTCTTAATATTAATTTTGTTTAAGGTCAATTTTATTTAGAAACTGATAAAAGGAGAGTACATCAGTTTCATTTTGAGCAGTATTGCCTAGTGTGTCATTCTTACTATTTTCAACTTTTCTATGTTCTAAAGTTATTGATGTACCTCTTATAGCTGTATATCATAAATTATCTTTTTGAATCCAATCTGACAATTTCTGTTACGCACATGGAGAATTTAAACCATGTACATTTGTTATGACTAATGGTGTATCTGGATTTACATCTGTCATCAGATTTTTATTTTAAAAAATCATTATAAAATAACTACAAAAGTATATGCTTCAAAGCATTATAATAAAATTAACTTCATTAATCCACCACGAAGTTAACAATTAGAACATTACTAACATTACATCTATCTGTGTGTTGCTCCCCATCTTACATCCCTGCCTATATTTATACCAAAGATAATTACTATCTAGAATTATAATTTCATTGATTTTTAAAAGTCAGTCCTTATCGAAGTATGTATCTCCAAAATATGTATTTAGTTTTTATTTTTTAGTTTTACTTGCTTTTGAGCCTCAAAGATGGTTTTACATTGCATCACCCTTGTAGAATGTTTTTTACACCCTTATTATTTTTTAGGTTCATCTATGGTGTCATTTATAATTCCGTGATTTTATTATTAGACTATAGCCAACTTGATTCATTTTCTTATTGAAGAATATTTCTTCCACCTCCTATAACTACCCCCTTATTCTTTAGCTATTCCAAATAACATTGCTATGAATGATAGTTTGCCTGCTCGTCGGTGCGAACTGTCTCTAGGGTATATCTCTATGAGTGGAACTGTTGGGTACCAAGACGTGCAAATGTTCAATTTTACACAATGATGCCAAATTGCTTGCAAAATGGTTGTTAAAAAACCCCAACATTTTAGGCTCGCGCTGATCTGCATACATATCAATACCAGTTATTATGAAGATTTTTGTCAATAGAGAAAGAATAAAATGATATCTCATGGAAAATTTAGAGACAGTATATAGACTGTCAGCAGATCCAAGTATAGTTTTCATTTAAGGGTCTCAGCTTTTCCATATCTTCACCCACTCTCAAATAATTGCTGTGTTGCGTTGTGAGAGCAACACAAGGAATATGCATTAATAAATACTCAAGGCAGAGGACATTAGTTCCTCAATGAGACAAACTTATTTTTAAACCCTGTGCCCCATCCATCTATCTGTCTATCATCTAGCTATCAATCTATCATCTACCTATCTTAAAGTTAGAAATTGGAATTGAGATGATTGTCATGGGGACATGTATTAACCCATTTGTTTCAACAGAAAAATACAACCAGATATTTTTGACAAAAGATAATTCTGTTTTAGCTGATTGTTTTGTCAGTGAAAACTGCCTTTATCAATTAGATTTTATAACAGATAGAATCTATACATGAAATAAGTTGAATTGTATCCCAAATACATACACACACATGCACACACACTCACGCATAGCATTTGATACAATTGATTAAATGTATTATGCTGTCAAAGATAATGTGAAATTAACATTTCTACTTTCTTATTCTTCTGAGTAAAAGAGTAACAGGTATAATTACTAGGTTGTTGTTTTTTGGTTTTTGGTTTTGTTCTGTTTTAGCCTTAATAATGCCTTTTTTGGATACTTTCCAAAAAACCTGAGAGTGGTTTGGAAAGGATGAGGATAATGAAAATGAGAGGATAATGAATTCTTTTGGAAGTTAGGTAGATTCCAATTTTTGGCTTTCAAGAAACTGAACAAAGGCATAATTGAGCTGTCACCCTGAAAAAAATCATTAAATATGATTTTTCATAATAAACAATTATGGTTTTTGGTTAACTTAACTCAATGATCTTTTTAATAACAAAAATTATTTATGTGAACGAAGAATGCAACCACTCTGCCAACTTGACTCTATCAATAAATATTATTTGTACGTGAATACATAATGTAATTGGATAAAGAATACCTAAATCCATCTTACTATGAGCTATTTCCAATAACATCCTATTTTCTATGACTTTTTATTAAAAACAATTTATGTTGTTTTGAGCACCTGTGTACTAAAATAATATAATGATAACTCAGGAGGAAAATTTTAACTTAATGACTATGATCGCAGAAAACAAAAACAATTAAAAATTCAATTTAGATACATATCTTACTTATAATGTAGGATAGAGTACTCAAAGACTGCCAAGCATAAAACATTGATTATTAGCATAATATACAGTAGGAGAAATAATTTGAAAATACAGTTGAAAAAGGAAAATGAAATAATGTAAAATTCTCCATTATCAACATTTTTATATCATTTTTACACAGATGATGGCAGATATCTGAACACTGTGGTCTGTGCTCATAAGATACACTCAAAGTTGATGAAAAAGTGTCATTTTGAAATGTAAATATGCAAAATGTACCCATAAAACACATCTTTTGGAACTATTTAAATTTTCAAGAAAAATTTTAGAACCTAAAACTGCACGAGGTAACAATACAGTTTTTATAAACTCACTTATGGAGCACCTGAGTAAAAATGTTCATAGACTGTTGAACTAGAGACTTGCTTAAATCTGCATTTGCACAGCAAAAGCACAATTTCTACTTGGATTTTATGTTTTTCTGGGGTAACATGAGGCCTGAGGTGACTGATAGAGATTATGGGGTGGCTACTTTGATTATATCTCGATGCTATTATTTAATACATCTACAGGCCTGCTACTTACAAGTCCTGCACATCAGAAAAGCAGCTTGAATACTTAAGTTTAAATAAATAAGAAAGTAATATGAAACAGCTATCATTTATTGAATATTTCTTTAATACCTAAAACTTCCCTGTTAAGTAGGTATTACTAATGCCCACAGGCAGATGAGAAAGGTGAGGTCTTAAGTGAACCAGGATCACAAACATAGGTCATAGAACAGCAGGCCAAACCAGTACTACAGCATCTATCTACCTCAATTTTCTCATCTTAAAATGTGGATAATAATGCTGACTTCATAATTAATCCTCGAATATATTTTTATTGTAAAAGTAAATAAAATTATAAAGATTTTTGGGCAGAAAGTAGAAAGCTATATGTAATCATTTAGAAATATGGATACCTCTGTTAACATATAAACACACACTGGGAAAATAACACAATTTTTATAACACACTCCCAAATATATTCTGAGCTTTGTTTCATCACTCAGCAATGTGATAGAAACTATTGTTTCACCAGATACTTAATGTAACCCCTAGGGTCATTCAGTTAGTTTAAATTTTTGAATCTGAATTTTTTTTTTTTTGAGATGGAGTCTCACTCTGTTGCCCAGGCTGGAGTGCAGTGGCACGATCTTGACTCACTGCAGCCTCTGCCTCCCAAGTTCAAGCGATTCTCCTGTCTCAGCCTCCCGAGTAGCTGGGATTACAGGCACTTGCCACCACGCCCAGCTAATTTTTGTATTTTTAATGGAGACAGGGTTTCACCATGTTGGCCAGGCTGGTCTTGAACTCCTGACCTCAGGTGATCCACCTGCCTTGGCCTCCCAAAGTGCTGGGATTAAGGTGTGAGCCACCGCACCCAGCCTTGAATCTGAATTTTAAAGCTTCAGTAAAAGCAAGGCATCTGTGTGTCCATCAAGAGTTATTTGGTTGCACTAAATCTCTACACAGATTATTTAATATTGCTTAGTCATTCAACTTACTTCTTGGGTAGCTTCATTTTTTTCACCTTGTCTTCAGCATGTTCATCTGATATACCCACATGACATCCTAATGCCAACAAAGTCCTGGAAAACAAAACCAGAGATAAGTGTGATCATTTCTTCTCTATGTCCAGAATAACCCAAGACAGCAGCAGTAGCAATGAGATACAACCTTGAAAGCACAATTTTTTTTTTTTTTTGAGACGGAGTCTCGCTCTGTCGCCCAGGCTGGAGTGCAGTGGCGCGATCTCGGCTCACTGCAAGCTCCGCCTCCCGGATTCACGCCATTCTCCTGCCTCAACCTCCCAAGTAGCCAGGACTACAGGTGCCCGCCACCACACCCGGCTAATTTTTTGTATTTTTAGTAGAGACGGGGTTTCACCGTGTTAGCCAGGATGGTCTCGATCTCCTGACCTCGTGATCCACCCATCTCGGCCTCCCAAAGTGCTGGGATTACAGGTGTGAGCCACCGCGCCCAGTCAGAAGTCTTGTTTTTAAGGTGAAAGGAACATTTACTGATTTGCTAATTATTCATTTCTGAGTAAGGGATAAGACACTGCGAACTGAAATGGCACAAAAAGGAATACACTGAAAAGTAAGTCTCCCTCCAACTTCTTCTAATTCTGTTTCCTTCCTCTAAAGGCATCAATTGTTAACAATTCTTCGATATCCTGCTGGGGAGTCTATGTACCTACTAAAGCAGATATACGTGGTGTGTGTGTGTGTGTGTGTGTGTGTGTGTGTGTGTGTATGATATTATTGTTTTACCTTTTATAGAAATGCGTATATACAGGAGACATTTTGAGACAATTTGTCTTTAGTACCCACGGCACTGAGTGGTTTCTCCTGCCTTGATAGAGTAAGAAATAACGGCATAATATTTTGGGATTACAGAATTTCTAAGGTCTGATCAGTTCTAGTAAGAATGTGGGAATTATCTAAAACCCATAATACTTATCTCTATAATATTTTAATAATGTGTGGATAGGTTGATGGTTATATGTATATACATATACGTACATTATATATATGTATTTCCATATAGACAAGTATCTATATGTATAAGCTTAACCATTTAGACAGATACATATAAGCTTATACATATGGGTATCTATCCATCTATACACACACAATTATCAGTTAAATTTTGTTATATATGAAAAAATTAAAATAACCCCATGAAATTATCTTTCTAGCGTTAAATTGCAAAACTATGGGAAGACCAAGAGCTGATTGAAGGTACAAAATAAGCTGAATAAAGAATGTGCACGTTGAAAGGGATTGATCAGCAATAAAATAAAAAACGAACTCACAGGAACAAATATAGATTACACTTATTCAGACACTATCCAGAGGACAGGAAGATTTTACCAGCACCCTCCATTCCTTTATTTATTCATTCAGTAAATATCTACTGAGTGCTATCATGTGCAAGGCCCTGTGCTACAGACAACAGGCAATTATGATAGTATCTTCAGGGCAATGAGGTAATCACAAGGCTGTAAAAGTATCAAAGAGGGATGTCCAACCCAGCTCTGAGAGAACTCAAGATTGATCATAATATTAGGATTTACCATAAACTCAGGCAATTAAACCTTTGAGCACATGCCCACCAAGAAATCTTCTGATGATAATGTGTCTTCCCAAGCTGATCTGTAAAAATGAATATTTTGGATTATAAGACAGTTATTATCACTGCAAATCAGTACCTCAGTGTGACATGCCAGGAATGTAGTTAATGTGAGTCCAGACCGAGAGACAAAGTCACATGGTGTACTGACATCAAAAGTAAGCCTGAGCCATAGAAAATGTAATTAGTTAATTCATCCTTAAGGGCTTCTGAGAGAGAGCCAGTGTTTTATGCCATCAATACTATAATCTTCTCATAACTAATTAATTCAGCCTCATAATCTTCTTCCCAATGCAAACTACCTAGAAAAGTATGAATTCAACTCACACGGACAGTGAACATAATAGACCACATGTGCATAAATATATAAGTCCATAAATATTTATTGAGTTACCACCATATCTAAGGTACTCTGTAGTACAGTAGTCCTCCCTTATCCATGGCTGATATGTTCCAGGACTCCCAGTGGATGCCTGAACCCCACAGATAGTACCAAACCCTATACTTTTTCCTATCCATACATACTATGATACATACTAAAATTTAACATATGAATTAGACACAGTAAGGGATTAAAACTAGTAACTAATAGAAAATAGAACTATTATAACAACATACTGCTCACAATTTCACAGACAGAAGAATTGTTGTTTTTATAGATCTTAGCAACTTCAGTATACAGTATTTTTCTTCCCTTATTAAGTTGAGAATATTCACCTTTTCACTTAAAAGAAGCACTTTATGGCTTCTCTTTGACATATTCAAATTGCCAGCATCTTTAATTTTGTGCATTGGGGCCATTATTAAATAAAATAAGGGTTACTTGAACAAAAGCACTACAGTGTCATGACAATCAAGCTGATAACCAAGATGGTTGCTAAGTGACTAACAGGTAGGCAGCCTATACAGCATGGGCCAGGGGGACAAAGCGATGATTCGCATCCTGGGCAGGACAAAGTAGCAGGGCGTGAGATTTCATCACACTGCTCAAAATGGCATGCAATCTAAAACTTATACATTGTTTATTTCTAAAGTTTTCCATTTGATATTTTCAGGAGTACTACTGCACATGTTTCTCTTGACAGCGTTTACAGTCTGATAGGAGAAAAGATGATGACTGAAGAATTATAATAAAACCAAGTAGGGTTCCACATTTTAAAAAGTTACATGTTTTAGAAGCATCTTTAAGATATTCCAAGAAGGATAATTAAACATTTCAAAGATGAAGACATGTGGGAATAAAGGATAAAGAGATGAAGAGGCAAATATTTCAGGTAGGTGAATAAGACAGACAACCTACAGAAGCAGGAGATCGTGGGTCTGTGTGGGAGGGGCAGAGAAGGGTTGACTGGAGTATTAAGATCTGACCGTGTACTATAGGTTAAGGGTAAAAAGAAATACTGGGGTAAGTTTGGGGTGCACTATATGCTTCATAAATATTTCTCATTATGTGTGATGGCTAATTTTATGTATCAACTTGGCTGGGGCATAGTGCCAACACATTTAGTCAAACATTATTCCAGATGTTTCTGTGAAGCTGTTTTTGGGTGAGATTAACATTTAAATTGCTACACTTTGAGTTCACATGGAATCAAAAAAGAGTCCGAATAGCCAAGGCAATCCTAAGCAAAATGAACAAATCCAGAGGCATCACATTGCCTGACTTATATATAAGGATATAGTAACTATAACAGCATGGTAATGGTACAAAATTAGACACATAGATCAATGGAATGGAATACAGAACCCAAAAATAAAGCCACATACCTACAACCAACTGATCTTTGACAAAGTTAACAAAAATAAACACTGGAGAAATGACAACCTCTTCAATAAATGGTGCTGGAAAAAATGGCTAGCCATATGCGGAAGAATGAAATTGCACCTCTATCTCTCACCATGTACAAAAATTAACTCAAGATGGATTAAAGATATAAATGTAAGACCTAGAAGAAAACCTAGAAAAAACTCTTCTGGACATTGGCCTAGGTAGAGTTTATGATAAAGATCCCAGAAGCAAATGCATCAAAAACAAAAATAGACAAATGGGACTTAATCAAACTAAAAAGCATCTGCACAGCAAAATAATCTACAGAGTAAATAGACAACCTACAGAATGGGAGAAAGTATCTTCAAATTATGCCCCCAATGAAGGACTAATATCCAGAATCCACACAGAACTTAAACAACTCAACAGGAAAAAAACAAACAACTGTATTAAAAACCGGCCAAAGGGTCAGGCATGGTGGTTCATGCCTATAATTCCAGTACTTTGGGAGGCCGAGGCAGGAGGACTGCTTGAGCCCAGGAGTTCAAGACCAGTCTGGGTAACATAGGGAGACTCTGTCTCTACACATAATTCAAAGTTTAATCAGGCATGGTGGCACACATCTGTGGCCCCAGCTACTCTAAAGGCTGAGGCAGAAATTTTGCCTGAGTCTCGGAAATCAAGGCTGCAGTGACCTATGATCCACCACTGCACTCCAGCCTGGGCTACAGAGTGAGACTCTGGTCCTGAAAAAAAAAAGAAAAGAAAAGAAAGAAAAAAGGACATAAATAGACATTTCTCAAAAGAGGAAATACAAGCAGCCAAATAAACACATTAAAAAATGATCTGAATTACCAATCATCAGAAAAATGTAAACTAAAACCACAATGAGATACCATCTCACACCAGTCAGAATGGTTATTATTAAAAAGTCAAAAAATAAAAGATGTGGGTGAGGATGTAGCTTATACACTGTTAGTAGGAACATAAATTAGTTCAACCCCTTTGGGAAACAGCATGAATATTTCTCCAAAAACTAAAAATAGAACTACCATTCAGCCCTGCAATCCCACAACTGGATACCTACCCAAAGGAAAAGAAATCATTATATTTATTATTATTATTTTTTTTTTTTGAGGAGTTTTGCTCTTGTCACCCAGGCTGGAGTGCAATGGTGCAATCTCGGCTCACTGCAACCTCCGCCTCCCGGGTTCAAGCAATTCTACTGCCCCAGTCTCCAAAGTAGCTGAGGTTACAGGTGCTCACCACCATACCCAGCTAATTTTTGTATTTTTAGTAGAGATGGGTTTGCACCATGTTGGCCAGGCTGGTCTCAAACATCTGACCTCAGGTGATTCACCGGCCTTGGCCTCCCACAGTGCTGGGATTACAGGAGTGAGCCACCGCATCTGTCCAAGAAATCATTATCAGGTCACGCGTTTGAGACCAGCCTGAACAACATGGTGAAACCCCGTCTCTACTAAAACTACAAAAATTAGCCAGGCGTGGTGGTGGACACCTGTAATCCCAGCTACTTGGGAGGCTGTGGCAGGAGAATTGCTTGAACCTGGGAAGCAGAAGTTTCAGTCAGCCGAGATCATGCCACTGCACTCCAACCTAGGCAACAGAGCAAGACTCTGTCAAAAAAACAAAAAACAAACAAACAAAAAAAACACCTGCACTCACATGTTCATTGCGGCACTATTTACAATAGCAAAGTCACGGAATCAACTTAAGTGTCTGTCAACTGTTGACTGCAAAAAGAAAATATGGTACATATACACCATGGAAAACTATACAGCCACGAAAAAGAATGAAATCATGTCCTTCTTGCAGCAACATGGATAAAGTTGGAGGCCATTATCCTCATCATTTAAAAGAAAATTAAATACTTCATACTCTCACTTGTAAGTGGGGGCCAAGCAAAGTGGATACACACAGATATAAAGACAGAAATAATAGATAGTAGGGACTTCAAAGCAAGGAGAGCAGGAGGGGAGCTAGTGTTGAAAAATTACCTGTCAAGTACAATGTTGACTATTTAGGTAATGGGTTCATTAGAATCTAAATTCCCACCATTATACCTATGTAACAACGCACATAGGTAAATTCCTATGTATCTCTGTACATAGCAATATACCTATGTTACAAACACGCACATGTACCCTCTGATTCTAAAATTAAATACTAAACTTTTTAAAAAAGTATAGTGCACTTTAAGTAAATCAGACTACCTTCCATAATGTGACTGGGCCTCAACTAATCAGTGAAAGGTCTCAACAGAAAAAAGAGACTGACCTTCTGAGCAAAAGGGAATTTTGCCAGCACCCTGCCAATTCTTTAAGGAATCTCTCTCTATATATATCTGTATATACATATATGTCTATATATATATGTATATATACACACACACACATACATACACCCTGTTGGTTCTGTTTATCTCAAGAACCCTGATTAAGACATTAAGTGAGGGCCTCATATGCTATGCTGAGGGAATTACACTTATGTGAATGGACTAGGAGCTGCTAAAGGTTATTCTGCAGAATAGCAAAGTTAGAAGTCATCAGGTAGAAAATGTACTTTTTAGAGGCTGATTATTTTCATTTTTATTAAATTTATAGAGTTGCATGACTATCAGCACAATCTAGCTTTGCACCATTTCCACGAGCCCATGAGGTCCCCCATGCCTGCTGCAGGCGTTTCTCACTCTCACCTCCAGACAGCCCCTAAGCTACTTTATGTCTCTATCAATATGCCTGTTTTGGGCATTTCATAGGAATAGAATTACACAATATGGAGTCTTCTGTGTTTGGCTCCTTCCACCTGGCATAAAGTTTTTCAGGTTGATCCATGTTGGAGTCTGTGGCAGTAGTTTGTTTCCTTTTATTGCTGAATAATATGCCATTGTAATACTGGATCACATTTTATCTATTCCTTAGTTGATGAACATTTGCACAGTTTCCAGTTTTTGGCTCTTATGAATAATGCTTCTGTGAACATTTACGTGTAAATCTTTGCAGGGACATAAGCTTTTATTTCTCTTGAGTAGATACATAGGAGTAGAATTGCTAGGCTATGGTAAGTTTATGTTTAACTTTTTAAGAAACTTCCAAACTATTTTCCAAAGTGGTGGCACCATTTTACATTGCCTGCAGTAATACATGTGGGTTTCAGTTTTCCTATAGCTTCACCAACACTTGGTATGTCTGTCAAAAATTATAGCCATTTTATTGTGTGTAAGGTAGTATCTTCTTATGGTTTTAATTTGTATTTTTCTGACTGATGATGTGTAACATCCTTGATTGCACTTTATTAGCCATCTGTGTATCTTCTTTGGTAAAGTATTTTGCCAATTTTTGCCTTTTTTTTTTTTGAGACAGAATCTTGCTCTGCCACCCAGGCAGGAGGACAGTGGCATAATCTCGGCTCACGGCAACCACTTCCTCCCAGGTTCAAGCAATTCTCCTGCCTCAGTCTCCCTAGTAGCTGGGATTACAGGCGCCTGCCACCACGTGCAGCTACTTTTTTTGTATTTTTAGTAGAGATGGAGTTTCACCATGTTGGCCAGGCTGGTTTCTAACTTCAGACCTCAAGTGAGCCACCCAACTCAGCCTCCCAAAGTGCTGGAATTATAGGCGTGAGCCACCATGCCCAGCTGTTTTGCCAATTTTTAAATCAGGTTTTGTGTATTCTTATTATTGAGTTATAAGATTTCTATATATATTCTGGATACAAGTCCTTTGTTAGGATTGGTATGATTTACTACAAATCCTATTAATACAATTGTGCTTGATTCACAAATATTCTCTCCCAGCTGGTGGCCTGTCTCTTCATTTTCTTAATGGCTTCTTTTGAAGTACAGAAAGTTTTACTTTTAATTAACTCCAATGGATGGACTGTTTTCTTTAATAGGTCATGTTTTGGATATTGTATCTAAGTACTCTTTGCCCAATCCTAGGAGGTTTTAAAATGGGAGCAATGGATTATATTTAAAATATATTTATTAACACTACAACCATATCAAGTTCTTTGTTTGAATGAAGTGTTTGGTTTCTGTATCATCTTTATTGAACCACTTTATTTGATGATTTAACATTGTTTAACTCATTTTTTTTTTAAGTCTGCTGAAGGGTGGTGAGAGAAACAGCACACTATAAGTTGGAACTGCAAAGCTGATAGAAAGGCTAGAAAAGCACAAAATAAGGGAAGCAAGAAAGGATTAGTTGGGAGCAGGTTCTTGGCCTTACATGCATTCAGTAAATATTTACTACTAGATTAAGCAGTAGGGATTGGTAATGTAGCATTTTAGTACTTAAACTATATAGCTGCAGAAAAGTAAACAGACTGTTAGGAAGCAAATGTGAGGCACCCTGTAGGTAGGCATTTGGTATGTAAAAACCCAGTTACTGACTGAGATTTATCATTTATTTATTAATTCATTCATTTGATGAATATTTACTGAGCTCTAAGTAAAATTTGAAAAATGGTAACAAAAATCAAGTGAGATGCCTGCTGTCATGAAACATATGGTCGGTGGAGTACAGAGGCAACCATGTAATTCCCACACACAGGGAAAGCTTCTATACTGGGAGTACAGAAAGGATGAGTACCTATAGAAGTAAAATTGTTGAGTCAAGGAACTCAGACAACATGTTCGAAAGAAGTGAACCTGACCTTAGATCTGGCAAGCTTGTCCAACACGCAGCCTGCGGGCTACATGCGGCCTAGGACAGCTCTTTGAATGTGGCCCAACACAAATTCATAAACTTTCTTAAAATATTATGAGATTTCTTTGTGTGATTTTTAAAATTTAGCTCATCAGCTATTGTTAGTATTATAGTGTATTTTATGTGTGGCCCAAGACAATTCTTTTTCTGCTATGGCCCAGGGAAGCCAGAAGATTGGACAGCCCTGATCCAAAGGATGAGAGCCAGGCATAGAAAACAGCATTCCACATCACACCCTGGGGCCTGTTGTGGGGTAGGGGGAGCGGGGAGGGATAGCATTAGGAGATATAGCTAATGTTAAATGACGAGTTAATGGGTGCAGCACACCAACATGGCACATGTATACATATTTAACCTGCACGTTGTACACATGTACCCTAAAACTTAAAGTATAATAAAAAAAGAAAAGAGCATTCCAAGAAGAGGACGTGTGGAAGATCTTGTGGTGGAATGGAATGTGTGGACAGGCAAGCAACACAAAGGTCAGTGTGACTGCAAGCAAGAGTACAAGGGCAGCCTCACTTATAATGAGGCTGGTGAGAGGGGAGGCCCCAGATTTTGGGATACTTTGGCAAATTAAAGCACCATATTTAACTTAAAAGCAATGAAAAGCCATTAATGGATTTTATTTTTTTTTATGTATTTAATTTTTTTTTTCTTTTTGAGATGGAGTCTCGCTCTGTCACCCAGGCTGGAGTGCAGCAGCATGATCTCGGCTCGCTGCAACCTCTGCCTCCTGGGTTCAAGCAATTCTCCTGCCTCAGCCTCCCGAGCAGCTGGGATTACAGGCACCTGCCATGACGCTTGGCTAATTTTTATAATTTTAGTAGAGACAGGGTTTCACCATGTTGGCCAGGCTGCTCTTGAACTCCTGACCTCAGATGATCCACCTGCCTTGGCCTCCCAAAGTGCTGAGATTACAGGCTCACCTGACCTCAGGTGACCCACCGTGCCTGGCCCCATTAAGGGATTTTAAATAGAAAGATTGACATGGTCACCTTAATGTTTGAAATGAACACACTGGCTACAAAGTACAGAATAGCTAGAGGTGCTATTGCATTTTGTTTGCTGGTATTTTTGTTGAGGACTGTTGTGTCTATGTTAATCAGGGATATTGGTCTGTAGTTTTCTTTTTTGTTGTGCCTTTGTCTGGTTTTGGTACCAGGGTGATACTGGCTTCATAGAGCGGTTAGGGAGAATTTCCTGCTCCTTGACTTTTTGAAACAGTTTCAGGAGGATTGATATTAGTTCTATGTATGTTAGGTATAATTCATCTGTAAATCCATCTGATCCTGGGCTTTTCATTGTTGGGACAATTTTTATTACTGATTCAATCCTTTTTTTTGGAGACAGAGTCTCACTCTGTCACCTAGGCTAGAGTGCAGTGGCACAATCCCGGCTTATGGCAAACTCTGTCTCCCAGGTTAAAGCAATTCTCCTGCCTCAGCCTCCTTGAGTAGCTGGGATTACTGGTGTGCACCATCACACCCAGCTAATTTTTGTATTTTTAATAAAGTTGGGGTTTCACCATGTTGGCCAGGCTGGTCTGGAACTCCTGACCTCAAGTGATCCACCCACCTTGGCCTCCCAAAGTGCTGGGATTACAGGCATGAGCCACCGCACCTGGCCACTGATTCAGTCTTGCTACTTGTTATTGCTCTGTTCAGGTTTTCAATTTCTTCCTGGTTCAGTCTTGGGAGGGAGGCTGCATGTTTTCAGGAGTTAAGTGGGTTTTTATCAGGGACACAAGGATGGTTCAACATCTGCAAATCAATAAATGTGATACGTCGCAAAAACTGAACCAACAACAAATACCATATGAGCATCTCAATAGGTGCAGAAAAAGCATTTGATAAAATTCAGCATCGCTTCATAATAAGAACTCTCCATAAACAAGGGATAGAAGGAGCATACCTCAAAATAATAAAGGCCATATACAACAATCTCACAGCTAACATTATGCTGAATGGGGAAAGTTGAAAACTTTCCCTGTAAGAACTGGAACAAAACAAGGATATTTACTTTTACCACTCCTATTCATTACAGTACTGAAAGGCCTAGTGAGAGAAATTAGGCAATGGAAAGAAATAAATGGCATCTAAACTGGAAAAAATGAAGTCTAATTATCCTTGTTTGCTGACAATTTGATCTTATGTCAAGGAAAACCTAAAGATGCCACAAAAAACTCTTATTTGATAAATGGAATTCAGTAAAGTTGCAGCATGTAAAATCAATGTACAAAAATTGGTAGCATATCTATAGACCAGTAACAATCTAACTAAGAA
This sequence comes from Homo sapiens, assembly GCF_000001405.40. Taxonomy (NCBI): domain Eukaryota; kingdom Metazoa; phylum Chordata; class Mammalia; order Primates; family Hominidae; genus Homo; species Homo sapiens. The sequence continues at coordinate 237,520,097 of NC_000001.11, read as the reverse complement.
ACAAATCAAGGAGGCAATCCTATTTACAATATCCACATAAAAATTAAAATACCTCATTGAAATACCTAAAATACCTAATTAAAATATATTTAACCAAGGAGGTGTACAAGATCTGTACAAGAGAAACTATAAAACAATGATGAAAGAAATTATAGATGATGCAAACAAACACAAAAACAGCCCATGATCAAAAATCTGAAGAATCAGTATTGTTAAAATGACAATATTGCCCAAAGCAATCCATAAATTCAATGCAACTCATATCAAAATGCCAATGTCATTTTTCACAGAATTAGGGAAAAACAATCCTAAAATTCAAATGGAACAAGAAAGAGTCCAAATAGCCAAAGCAATCCTGAGGGGTAAATAAAAGGAGGCATCATATTACCTGACTTCAAATTCTATTATAAGGCTATAGTAACCAACACAGCATGGTACTGGTAGAAAAACAGATGAATAGATCAATGGAACAGAATAGAGAACCCAGAAATAAAGCTACATACTTACAGCCATATTTGTTGGCTTTCACAAAGCCAACAAGAGCATACATTGGAGAAAGGATACACTCTTCAATACATGTTGCTGGGAAAACTGGATGGCCATATGCAGAAGAGTAAAACTGGTCCCCTATCTCTCACCATGTACAAAAATCAACTCAAGATGGGTTAAGACTTAAACAAAAGACTCAAAATTATAAAAATACTAGAAGAAAATCTAGGGAAAACTCTTCTGAACATTTGTCTAGGCAAAGAATTTATGACTAAGACGTCAAAAACCCAGGCAACAAAAACAAAAATAGACAAACAAGACCTATTTAAACTAATAAGCTTCTGCACAGTGAGAGAAAGAATCAACAGAGTGAAGAGACTACCTGCAGAATGCAAGAAAATATTTGCAAAGAATTCATCTGACATCAAACTACTCATTCATCCAGAATATGCAAGAAACAAACAATTCAACAACAAGAAAAGCATCAAATAGTCTCCTTAAAAACTGGGCAAAGGAAATGAATAGACATTTTTCAAAATAAGACATACAAATGGCTAACAGGTATATGAGAAAATGCTGAACATCACTAATCATCAGAGAAATGCAAACTAAAACCCAGGTGGGATGTCATCCTACACCAGTCAGAATGGCTATTCTTAAAAATGCAAACAAACAAACAAAAAAACAGATGTTGGCGAGGATGCAGAGAAAAGGGAACTCTTATGCACTGTTGGTGGGAATGTAAATTAGTACAGCCTCTATGAAAAAATAGTATAGAAACTTGTCAAGGAACTAAAAATAAAACTACCATTCGATCCAGTAATCCTACTATTGGATATCTACCCGAAGGAAAAGAAATCCATATATCAAAAAGACATCTGCACTTGCATGTTTATTGCGGCACTATTCACATCAGCAAAGAAATGGAAGGAACCTAAGTGTCCATCAATGGATGAATGGATAAAGAAAATGTGGCATATATACATAATGGACTATTATTCAGCAGTAAAGAAGAATGAAATCATGTATTTTGTAGCAACATGATTAGAACTGGGGTCATTATTTTAACTGAAATAAGCTAGACCCAGAAAGGCAAATACCCATGTTCTCATTCACAAGTGGGTGTTAAAAAAATGTGCACACATGGACATAGAGAGTAGAATGACAATTCATGGAGACTTGGAAGAGTGAGGGGATTGGAAGGGAGTAGATGATGAGAAATTACGTAATGGGTGCAATATACATTAACTGGGTGATGGATACCCTCAAAGTCTTGACTTTTGTTACTTTATGCATGTAACAAAATTGCACATGTACCCTGTAAATTTGTACAATTTTTAAAAAGGCAAAAAAAAACAATAGAAAAGAGAGTATCTAGGGTGTATTTCAATTGGATCTGTTGGGAGGATATTATAATTTCAGGTGGGAAACAATGGTAGCTTAGACTAGGTTAGCATAGGGTGGCAATCATGTTGGAGTTGATGATGTGGTGATAGTAACATTAATAATGGAAGAAAATAAAGAAGTCGATAGATTAACATATCAATAGAAAGCCATGGGTGAAGGGAAGGGATGTGTCCAGGATGACTCCCAGATATCTGAGTTGTGTTCTGAGGGGCACTTAACACAACAAGAGAAGGACACTGAAAGGAGCCTGAGATTTGAAGGTATAAAAAAGTCACAAAGTTTGAGGTACATTTGCAATATCTAAGCAAGTTGGCATCTGAGAATGTTATGCGCTGGATACCTTTTGAGGACTAGGTACATGATTGTGAATTTAAAAAAAAAATCATGCTGTGGACTTTGGGTGATAATGATGTGTCAATGTAGGTTTATCAATTGTTATAAATGTACCACTCTGTTGAGGGCAGTTGCCTGTGGAAACAGGGGGCATAAGAAAAGTCTCTGTATCTTTCTTTTAACTTTGCTGAGAACCTAAATCTGCTCTAAAAAATAAAACCTTTTTTTTTTTTAATTATAGTTCCTGGCTTCATGGAGCTTACAGTCTAGAACAAGCTTTTCCAGCCCACAGCCCAGGATGGCTTTGAATGTGGCCCAACACAAATTCATAAACTTTCCTAAAACATTATGAGATCTTTTTGTGATTTGTGTTTTAGTTCATCAGCTATCATTAGTGTTAGTGTATTTTGTGTGTGGCCCAAGATAATTCTTCCAATGTGGCCCAGGGAAGCAAAAAGATTGGACACCCCTGGTCTAGAAGGAAAGGCAAATATTAAATAACCTCAGAAAGTGATATTACAAATTGTGGTGAGTTATAAACACACTATCAGGTGTTATAAAGGAAGTGAAGGAAGTGGTGAGGAAATTCTTATCAGGGAAGTGATATTTAAATGAAGGCCTGAGGGATGAGTAGGGAGGAGATCCTTTAAGGGTGAAATGAAGAATTTTCCAGGCAAAGGGAACAGAATAGTGAGGCAGGAAAAAGTTTAACTCATTATCAGGAAGAGACCATGAGGGCTGGAACATAAGGAACAAGGCAAAGAGTGGTGCAAGGCATGATGACAAACAGGAGGGGTGTCAGATTGTCTGGGCCATGCACACACTTGTGAAGATATCAGACTCCAAGTTCCATGGGAAGCCATTGAACAGTTTTAAGCAAAATATGAATGAATGCACGTGTGTGTATGAACTCAGGCTGCTGTGTGCAGAATAAAGACGGCAAGTGGGAGGACCAGTTAGGAGATGGCTATGGTAGTCTGGGTGACAGATGATGGTGGCTTGGACCAGACTGACTGCTGTGGAAAGGCAGGATGGAGGAAGAGTGACGTATACTTGGGGGGACCTGATAATGGGCTAGAAGTAGGAATGAAACAAAGGGAAGAGTCAAAGGTGATTCCCAGGTTCCTGGCATGTGTAGCAGGATGAATAGCCTGGCATGTTGAAAGACTCAACACCCTAAATGCAAATACAGGGGACATAAAGCTATATAGGTCTAGGTCACTTCTGATGCATCCAGGGGAAAATGTCAATGGAATGATAGGACAAACAATTCCGTCACTCAGAGCAGATGTCTGGGGTAGAGATGGATATTTGGGGAGGTATCAGCACCTGTGTGGTAATTAAGTCACGGAGTGGAGTGGTGAGAATACCTTCAGAGAGCTTGCACACTGAGAAGAAATGGCCCAGGACTGAACATAAAGATTCACAACATTTAGAACTTGGGAAGATTGGCCAGGCACAGTGGCTCACGCCTGCAATCCCAGCATTCTGAGAGGCTGAGGCGGGTGGATCACCTGAGGCCAGGGGTTTGAGACCAGCCTGGCCAAGATGGCGAAACCCCATCTCTACAAAAAAAAATACGAAAGAAAAATTAACCAGAGGTGGTGGCAGGTGCCTGTAATCCCAGCTACTCGGGAGGCTGAGGCAGGAGAATCACTTGAATCTGGGAGGCAGAGGTTGCAGTGAGCTGAGATCGCGTAACTGCACTCCAGCCTAGGCAACAGAGCGAGACTCCTTCAAACAAACAAATAAATAAGTAAGTAAGTTGGGAAGATTGTTGCCAGCAAGAAACCAAAGAGAAAAAAGAAGAGGAGGAGGAGGAGGAAGAGACAGAAAAAGGAGGAGAAAGATAAAGAGAAGAAGAAGAAGAGAAAAAAGAAGAGGGAGGAGAAGAAGGAGAAGAGCGAGAAGGAGAAGAGCAAGGAGAAGAGGAAGAAGGAGAAGAGGGAGAGGGAGAAGAGGGAGAAGGAGAAGAGGGAGGAGGAGAAGAGGAAGGAAAAGAAGAGAGAAGAGAAGAAGAGGGAGGAGGAGAAGAGGGAGGAAGAGAAGAGGGAGGAGGAGGAGAAGGAGGAGAAGAGGAAGTAGGGGAAGGAGAAGAGGAAGGAGGAGGAGAAGAAGAGGAAGAAGGGGAAGGAGAAAGAAGGAGGAAGAGAAGAAGGAGAAGGAGGGGAGGGAAGGAAGGAAGGAAGGAAGGAAAAAAAGGGAGGGGAAGGGGAGGGAAGGGGTGGGTGATGGAGGGAGGGGAGGGAGGGGGAGGAGGAGGAGGAAAAGAGGTATGAGAAACTAACTTGCTCTCTTGGACAAAAATTCCACCTCTCCCCTTATCAGTTATTTGTCTCCCTTCCATACTGCTTTCCTCTCCATCCCTGTGTCCTGGGTCCCTACTATTCCTCCCATCCTTCACCACATACGTGCACAAGCACACTACATCATCTAAAAATAATTTTCAGGAAAAATACTTGGCTAGGAGGAAAAATATCATTGTAGTGTCACTATATTTTTGTTAACTTCCAAAGAAATAAATTCTATGAATGTGTATTACATGTCGATTAAAAATCCTTATATCAATTATTTCTAAAACGTGAGCTGTTTATTCAGAAATTAAGATCTGGAATTCGGAAAATAGTAAAAACTAAACCAGAAACTGAACCTTTGGTAACACTGGTCACATTTGAGGGTCATCTGGCAGGCATGATCTGCCAAGCTGTGCTGTTCTGAGAGTGTCACAATTTCGCAGTACCGTACGATACACAGATGACGATGGAAGTCTAAAGTAAGTTGTCACTGTCAACAATTTACATAAGAAAAAAATCACAGAAACAGCACCCAAAATTCATATTTCATTAAATTGCTCCTCAACCCAAAATAAGGGATATTCTGGAATAATTTCTTGCTTATTTGTTACTTGGAACTTCTAAAGATGTAAACAAATGAAGCTGTTCATCCCTCCCATGATATATTTATTAAACAAACAAAAAACCTAGACTATGCTCCCTCTCAGACATATGGTGTTAAAGCCTTTATCAATATCCTATTAGTTAGTCCCTATAATAATTCCATGAAGCAAATACATTATGATCCTCATTCTACTAAGGAGAAGAAAACCTAGGGTTCAGAGGAGTTGAGTGACTCCAGCAACATTTCCTCGGTGGACCAAGCCCTTAAGTCCAGATGACCCAACTCCAGAGTCTGTGTTCTTAGCTACGCTGCTCTGGGGCCTGCCAATTAAATAAGTGAATAAAGGAAATATAGGAAGAAAGTACTGTACTTTCTCTAAACCCTTGGAATTGGGCATGGTATGAATCTTAGAGAAGTACAGATGTTTTCCCCTAATTCAATTTGTAAATAAATAAATAAAAATCAGTCCATCATAAAACCATATAAACTAGCTATAAGAAAATCAACAAAGAAATGTTAAGCATTTGCTTGTGAAGAGGGTGATTTACATTCATCAGAGAGAATAAAACCACAGTACGTGCAGTCTGAAGATTAACCAAATCAGCCACCAGCAGCTGGTAGGTATGACACTGGATTACATGTAATAGTCAAAGGCACAACATGCTAAATGCAAATACAGAGATTTCTACAGTCCAGAATTTACTCTCTGCTATAGCTGGCTTAGCTGTCAATTGCTAAAATAATAGGGAATGCACTGCAAATTTAAATTATGTTAGACCTTGACCTTTCAATAAAACATTCTGTTGTAAAAGATGAAGAAATAATGAGCTGCTATGAATTACTAAGCTAAATATACAAGCCTCATGTCAAGAGCGCAAAGGAAGATCAGAGATGCTGAATCCACGTACTCAGGACACAGGGCTCGTTATGCATTCTTTATTACAAGCAAACCTTGTCATTTTTAACCTTTAGGTTCTCAATTTACTTGATGTGTATATATTGCTTTTTCTTTTAAGTTCCTAGTAGACCCTAAGCTCAATCTTATGCCTAATGTGTTTATTTACATGATAATCTGCATCCTTGAGGATATAGAGTTATACATCACTTAACAATGGGGATATACTCTGAGAAATGGGTCTTTAGGTGTTTTCATCATTATGTGAACATTATAGAGTATATTCGTACAAACCTAGATCGTAGAGCCTACTACACACCTAAGCTATACGATATAGCCTATTGCTGCTAGGCTACAAACTTGTACATGTTACTTCACCAAATACTGTAGACAACTGTAACACAATGGTAAGTATTTGGGTATCTAAATATAGAAAAGGTAGTGCGTTGCACTAGGATGTTATGACAACTGTGATGTCATAAGTTATAGGAATTTTTCAGCTCCATTATAATCTCATGGCCACCATCATATATGCAGTCCATCATTGAGTCAAACACTGTTAGGCAGCTCATGACTATATACCCGAGTCCAAATTCTAGAATTTGAAATGCGGTTTAAATTTTATGTTCCGGGTCCCTGGTAAAATAATTTCAGTGGAAATAACTCCTTACTACTCTTAACAAAACTGAAACAAACAAAAAGGACTAGAGTTTTGTACGTAATATAAAAACATATTAGGATAAGTGACCTATTGGAACAAATCCAGTTCTGTAGGACATCAAGGATGGAAGGAGGACAAGAGTAAAGTTACTGGCTTTGCAAAAATATTCTCTTTACTTTTCTATATCAAAATTCGAAATTATATTCCTTCCTTTATTCCATTTCAGTCCCATTATTCCGTCTGCAAAGGTAAGGGGCAAAGTCAAGAGGTCAACTGGCAGCAATCACTAAAAAGCAAATTTGCCTTTACTGGGTGATATAAAATACTCTACAGTAGCTTTTCTCAAAATATGTGCTCAGGCTGGATGCAGTGGCAAGCTCCTGTAGTCCTAGATACCCAGACTGGGCCAGAGAATCACCTGAACCCAGGAGTTGCAGGCTGCAGTGCGCCATGATCCAGCCTGTGAATTGCCGTTGCTCGCCAGCCTGGGCAACACAGTAAGACTCTGGCTCCTTTTAAATTTATTTTTATTACTATCATTTTTGAGACAGGGTCCTGCTCTGTCATCCAGGCTGGAGTGCAGTGGCGTGATCACAGCTCACTGGAGCCTCAATCTCCCAGGCTCAATCCATCCTCCCACCTCAGCCTCCAAGTAGCTGGGACTCAGGTGTGCGCCATTATGCCCAGATAAGTTTCATATTTTTTGTTGACATGGGGTCTCACTATGTAGCCCAGGATGGTCTCAAACTCCTGGGCTCAAGCCATCTACTGGCCTTGGCCTTCCGAAGGGCTGGGATTATAAGCACGAGTCACTATGCCCAGCTGACTTTGGCTCCTTAAAAAACTAAAACAAAACCAAAGATATGGTGCTCAGATAAATAGTCCTCATAGGTATGCTCTGAAAACAGGCTGCTATGGTGAAATCAGTTTAGGAAATACCATAAACAGACTTCACCCCAAAGTTCTGAAAAGTCCATCAGCAAAAAATTTTAAATTATTCAACTCTTTGAATTTAGCATCTTTTAAATATATTAAATCAGTGCTTCTCAAATTACCTATGGTGAAGAACTAATTTTCTTTTAATATTTGGTCTATTGTGGTTTTTCCTGATATAATACAATAAAATTGTTAGAGAAAACTGAATTTTCAAAATGAAGACATACAGGCTATGACCTCACATTTCTTAAATCATTAGATTCAATATATGTAAAATTGCTTCCCTAAATTGGTATAGAAGTTTATAAACACTTGCTCTTAATATCTTATTTAGTCACAAACCAGTAACAATTTGTGACTGACACAGTCCCGGTCCACAGCCCACATTCTGTGGACCTGTATCCTATCAGGTCACAAAATCCTCATCATCCATAATACCCATATACACCTGTAGGACACCCTTTGCAAAATACTGATGTAGAACAAGAGGACATAAATTAACAGGGTCAAAGTCTTATTCTCAACAAATACTGATCCAATCCACTTATGCATTATAAAAAGTTCTAGCTGGAATTAAAAATCACTTCACAGCTCAATTAACATATAGCATCAATACCTGTTTTTTTTTTTTTTTTTTTTTTTTTCAGGGAAGGCAGGTTGGAAAATAGAAAAAGTTAAGAAACTCACTTCAGGGTCTCAAGCGACATTTGTAAGTTGTAATTGCGCTCCTGTTCAGGCAGCTTGGAGAACTCCACCAGGCATGGGTGTTGTCTCTTGTTGTCATCTCTAACCTGAAACAGGACAGGAAATTGACATAAAATAGTCTCCAATGCCAGGCACTAGCAATGGAATTCAACTGTGTGGTAGAAAGTGGAGGCAGAAGGCAAGAAGAAACACCCAGATCATTACCCCTGCAAAGCTGCCCCCACAACCTCTCAGGCGCAGTGAGTATCTGAGGTCACTGGTAAAAGCTGGCATTATCTTCGTTCCTTCCCTTCTGTTTGACAGAGCTTCCATGAACCCCCGCCATGCAGACTTCTACCCCAGATTCCCACAGGCTCACTCAGTCAGCTCCTTGCAGCATTTGCTTATATCTTATTTTCTCAGTGAGGTTTACCCTGCCCACTTGTCTAATTAGGACAGTCTGCCTGCCCAGCTTACTCTTTTTTTTTTTTTTTTTTTGGTCCATACACCTTCTAACAGATTGGATTTATTGAGTTATTGGGCTATTGTCTGTCTCCGTGAATTAGAAGATCAAAAATGCAAAGATTTTGGTCTCTTTTGTTCTTTGATGTGTCCCAAACACCTTAAACATGCCTGGTATGTCCTAGGCACTTGACACGTTTTATAAATTGAAATAAATCCTGTGTAAGAAGGGTGTGGCAATGACTTAGTTTTAATTCATAGTGATTTTCCTGTATAGAACCAAACTGATTACAGACATCAATTAACGACAGGACTGACTGACATAAACACTTTGAGGTGGTTCTAGCTGTTTCTTTTACCCCCTGCATGTTACCTCCTGATCTCACAAATCACCCTACTACCTTCGCAAAATCCATTAGCATCATATGCAGGTGGTTTTTATATTAATTCTTGAAACTGCATATTAGCAATCACATTAAACTAAATGCAAGGTTTTAGGAATGAATTAATGAGAAAGATGTTCTCTCTCCTTGCATTAGTAATTAGGTTTGTTATCTTCTCAGAGACCTAAATCGCATCGGCATTAACGCCGTGGCAGCACCTAGATGGCAGCCATATGCTGTCAGGGAACAAATTAGTTCATGAGCATCATTACCAGATCCTAAAAATGCCACATGAGAAGGACAGAAACATGAGTGAGCTTTTTTTTTAAGTCTTCAGCAGTCACCAAGTTAGAAATGATGTATTTATTCCTTTCTTTCTGGTCATCATTATGAATGAACAAGACTTATATAGAATCATATATTAGATATACTTATTTGATTGCAGAACTTTGAAAATGAAATTGAGTTATGTAATTTTATTCTAAACTCTAAATCTCTAACCCTACAAACGAAACATAAAATGAGCATTTGTAAAAATGAATGTGTTGAACCCACAAATAATCTCCCTATTTAGGTCATCTCCACTTTGTCTCTACTCTCTATACCAGAATAACCAACACCATCATCTTCTCAAGTGTCTCAATGAAACCAGAAATCTGCGCAGATTCCCTTCCTTCTCCTGCTACATCCCATACGTGAACACCAAAACATCTCCTGTAATCACGTCTCTCTATCCCCACTGCGGGGCTCTGAGTCGCCTCTCACCTGAGGTACCTGTGCCCTCTCCCTGTCTCTCTTCCTGCCTCCAGGCTCTCTGCTTTTCCACATTCACAGCAGAGCTTCTTTTGAAAGCAGACATAAGTCTGTCACCTTCCTGCTAAGCATTTTTCAATGCTCTTTAGCCCCCTACAGAATAAAATCATCTTCTTTCCAAGCCTTTTGTGACACACTTCCTGCATACATGGCCTGGCTTCTCACCTCTTCTCCACACCACAGCAGAGGTGTCCTCTTGCAACACTGCACTACTGAAAGGTCATGGCTAATGTCCTGTCTCTTCTGCCTCCTCGCTTTTACACATGCCAGGTCCTCTGCCTACTACACGGTCATGCTTTCTGATTGCCAGCTATCTTGTACACATCCCTCAGTCTTGGATCAAATATTTACCTCCTCCTGGAAGCCTTCCCTGATTTCCCTGGGAAGAGCTAAATATTACTTCTTTACTCTGTAATTGTTTGCCTACCAATCATTCAACTAAAGAGGAAGCGCCAAGAAGGCAAACATAATACCTTAAAAGTCAAGGCCTTTTCAAAATTGGGTCCCCAGTACTAAACACACCAGGCAAATAGTAGACATACAATAAATGTTAAAGGGACGAATAAATGATAGACAGATCTGCCTTGTTATTCCACAAAATAGGGCCCTTGCACCATACTCCTGGGAAATATATCCCAAAGTAACGATAACTTCCTCTTCTTCAAAAAATCCAGCATGCTGGGTAGCTAAGTATAAATTGCTCCAAAGAAAAATATACTTGAATACTTCAAAACCTCATTTAAAATGTTAATGAATTTATGAAATTAGCATAGTAACAGGCACATATCTTAATCTAGAATAATTGACATCACAAGGTCAAGGATTCTAACTACTACACAAAAAGGAGTTTCAGGGAAGGTCTTGGAAAAGAAGCAGACTGCAAATCATACATTAGATGAGAGAACACCTCCTGCACCAGGAAAGGTGCGGGTGCTAACACAACAGCAGCAGACCAAGGGCTCAGTGTTTCCCCCAGAGGTACATCAAGCCCAGTGTTGCCTCAACTGGCCTCAGACCCAGCAAAGGATAACTTGAGTCAGTTGCGGGCAAGAAGGCCCCACGGTACTGTATTATCCTTTAATATTTGAAAACCCTGGCCGGGCGCGGTGGCTCACGCCTGTAATCCCAGCACTTTGGGAGGCCGAGGCGGGCGGATCACGAGGTCAGGAGATCGAAACCATCCTGGCTAACACGGTGAAACCCCGTCTCTACTAAAAATACAAAAAATTAGCCGGGCGTGGTAGCGGGCGCCTGTAGTCCCAGCTACTCGGGAGGCTGAGGCAGGAGAATGGCGTGAACCCGGGAGGCGGAGCTTGCAGTGAGCCGAGATCCCGCCACTGCACTCCAGCCTGGGCGACAGAGCAAGACTCCGTCTCAAAAAAAAAAAAAAAAAAAAAAAAAAGAAAACCCGAAGAGTGTCTTGAACATGGCAGGAATGTGATGTATGGTATCAACCAGAACTAAATGTAACTGGAAGAATCAATAATAGTGAGACTTTATATTTTAGTCAGTTCTTAAAGAAGAAACACACCTAAGGTTCCACTGCAAAACATAACCACTTAGGTGAACTTACTAGGAGTTTGCAGTGGAGATCATCTTAGAAGCCCGTTGAAATATTTGCTATTATAATATGGGGTTTTGCTGTTTGTTTTACATTTTGTTTGTTTTTTTTTTTTTAATGGGAACTTTTTAAAAAATCTTCCTGGCCTCTAATCATCTCTTCCTATTTTTGAAACTTCTGGAGAATGTTGCCTGTAATTCCTCTGGCAATTGATTACTTACACATTTGTAGCATCTCTCTTCCTACTGACTAATAGATGGTCCAGTCTTTTATTTAGCATTTATACATGTCCTTCAATTTTAAGAATTGATGAGGCCGGGCATGCCTGTAATCCAGCCTGTAATCCCAGCACTTTGGGAGGCTGAGGTGGGCAGATCACCTGAGGTCAGGAGTTCGAGACCAGCCTGGCCACATGGTGAAACTGGTCTCTACTAAAAATACAAAATTAGCCACGTGTGGTGGTGCATGCCTGTAAAACCAGCTACTTGGGAGGCTGAAGCAGGAGAATCGCTTAAACCGGGTAGGTGGAGGTTGCAGTGAGCCAAGATCACACCACTGCACTCCAGGCTGGGTAACAAGAGCGAAACTCTATAGCAAAAAAATAAAAAAAATTGATGAACGTAGCACAAAACTAGGTACCCAAGTGTTTGTTGGTGTAACAAATGTCTAACTATCATTTAGTTAATAAAAGCATCCCATTTTCTGGTCATGCTTCAGCAAGCCTTACAGTGACTTGCAGTCACTTTCTAAATTCTGTCTTAGAAAACCTTGATTCCAGTCTTGGAGCTGCTACTCACTAGCTATGTGATGCCTGCCAAGGCATTTAGCAACTGCAAGAACTCTCCGCTAGGTCATCACCAGTACAACTGAAATAACAACACAACCCAGTTCACTGTAATGACAATTTGACCTAATAATCTGTATGCAAGAATGCAAAACACTGAATAAATATATAAATATTACTGAGTAGTGTGGAGTATCACATGATACTACTACTAACGTTATATTAAGTATTCTTTATTCAGAGCTCAATGCAATAAACTATGAAGGGTAAATACATTAATTTCCATATTCAGTCAGGTATAAGAAAGTGTTATGGCCTTTGGGACACTTAGAATATATCATACAAATGAAAGTATTACCATGGTTTTGACACAAACAAGTATATGATATACACTAGGATTACACAGGTAGTTGTTTGTTTTAAATCTAAATTGTATTAAGTTGTAAACTAAGCTCTTTAGCAAAGTATCATTTAGAAGCATGTGCAATCATGGTTTCTCAGTCTTCATTCTACCTGTGAAACCAACTAGGAACACTTGCCCACAGGTTTCCGCTTTTACACACAATTGGAACTGAAAGAAAAGAAACATGAGCGAGAGAAAAGTAAATTGCCTTCTTTTCATTTTCAGTTTTCACTTTCAATTTCACTGAGATCTTTTAAGTGGCTTAAAAATCAATGCCTATTATCTGTATATGTTAACCTTGATTTGAAAATATAACTTTCAGCCCAGACACTGATAACTTTCCATTGTCTAGGCAGCTAGACCATCCTTCAGTGAACCTGCCAATAATGCCTGTCAGCCCCATTAACTACAATAACGTAGTAAGGCAAAACTGCACAAAAACTAATGTGTAGGGGGAAAAAAATCAATCCAACTAACTGATTGATGTCACCCCATAGCGGGAAAAGGCAGAAAAAGTTATGTTTTCAGAAAGATGTATTCACAGAATCTGAAAATAAATTTCAAAATTACATACCGGACCATACTGCCAGCCAAGCTCAATTTTATTCATAACCCAGAGTTCATGGATATTCTCTGCCAGTTTTTCTCTTATTCTTTCTAGATGAGGAGGCAACACGATCTAAAATTTACAAAAAGAAAAAAGACACATCAGAAACAAATGCAATAAGATGCAGTGCCAACAGTCTTCACTGCAAATTGAACTAAATAAAACTGCCTCATAAACCAGTAATCATAGAACAAAGTTCTAAGCCATCTATTTCACGACATTCTTTTTTTTTTTTTTTCCCCTTGAGACGGAGTCTCACTCTGTCGCCCAGGCTGGAGTGCAGTGGCGCGATCTCTGCTCACTGCAAGCTCCGCCTCTCGGGTTCACACCATTCTCCTGCCTCAGCCTCCCGAGTAGCTGGGAATGCAGGTGCCCACCACTACGCCCGGCTAATTTTTTTGTATTTTTAGTAGAGACGGGGTTTCACCGTGTTAGCCAGGATGGTTTCGATCTCCTGACCTCGTGATCCGCCCGCCTCGGCCTCCCAAAGTGCTGGGATTACAGGCGTGAGCCACTGCGCCCAGCCTTCATGATATTCTTTAAATAAATTTTGGTACCTTTTTTTTTTGACAACTTAGGTTTCCAAATCAATTTATGAGCCACCAGAAAAAAAAAAAAAGGAGTGTTGGTGGGGACAACCAAAAGATGTTTAATGGATATGGGGCTACTACCAAGGAATGTATAATTTAAAATGAGAAATCATCCCCAAGCTCTTACACCAACTGGGCCAGCATTCATTAGCCAGAGTAAAGGCAATTCAGTGCCCACATTATAGTCCATCGGATCTTTGAGCGTATAAATGTCTGACTAGTGATTGATATCTTCCCCTACACTCTACTCTGTTACTGTTAGTGGTTTCTAAATATAAGCTTCACAGAAAAGAAACAAAATCTTTATATGTTCCCATTAAAAGGAAGAAATTGAATGTTCATAAAAAACCCAAGGTAAGGGACTGGTTGTTTACGTCTTGATTAAGCACTTCTGTGTGACCCCACAGCTAGTCTCGCAACACATAGAGTGGGCAAATGACCACAATGCCCAACGACGAGGTGGCATTCCCAAGAGAAGCAGGTGATAACTGTTTCCTTTCCCTGATAGAGGTTATCTGGGTCTCAGGTAATCCTTAAGTTTCTACCATGATGTCATCTAGTTGTTCATTTCTAGTCTCCCAAATCTTTTTTCCTATAAACTTAGGTTGCACTATACATATCCTCCCACCTTTTAGCAATGGGCAATGCAAACTGAATTTTGGCCATGAACAATGTTTGCATGTTTATTTTAACAACATGATATAAAAAGGGGGAACAAGAAATACGATTTGAGGAGCTAAAAATCTGATTGCTAAGCAACTGAAGCTTTGGAGGCATGGTATTAATTCAAGTTCAGACTTTGGAAGCAATGTCTTTGATCTTTAAAAACTAAGAAACAAACTTTGAATATCTAAACAACCTCACTGAAGCTACTTCACCATCAATATAAGTCGATATTGAATTCATAGCCAACCTCAGAACACCATTACATCTATGAAACAGAAAAAGAGGAACAACAGCTAACATTTGTTGGGTGACTATTTGCCAAGTAATATGGTATCTATTAACTATGACAAACATACTCTAAGCATCCCAGTAAAGAAGGTGAGCAGCTCCCCTAAGGGAAGAGTACTTGATGCCAGGCACTTTGACTCTAGAGTTCATGATCTTAATCTATACCCAAGATAAAAGTCAGCTAAATATCTTCCAAATAAGCGTATCGAAGAAGGAAATGAGAAGAAATTGAAAACTCCATGTTTCCTATACGGCATCCTCATCTTTCTCTATATTCTCCTTAGAGTCTCATAGGAGTGTGAACCCTATTGTGAACTGCGCACTCCTTATGAGACTCTAACTAATGCCTGATGATGTGAGAGAGAACAGTTTCATCCCAAAGCCATCCCCACCTTCAACCCCAGCCCACCGGCTCGTGGAAAAATTGTCTTCCAGGAAACCGGTACCTAGTGCCAAAAAGGTTGGGGGCTTAAGAACTACACTCTAAGATCGGTGTGTGTCACATCTGTATGATATTACTTCAAGTGCAGTACATTACCCCAGATATTAAATCATCTTAACACTATTATACCTTAAAATTTCTTGCACGATTTTTGTCACTAAGTTCCACCTGTTGCTATTATTGCCTATTTTTAAAAGTATTGTCAGGCCTCTGAGCCCAAGCCAAGCCTTCGCATCCCCTGTGACTTGCATGTATACATCCAGATGGCCTGAAGTAACTGAAGATCCACAAAAGAAGTAAAAATAGCCTTAACTGATGACATTCCACCATTGTGATTTGTTTCTGCCCCACCCGAACTGATCAATGTACTTTGTAATCTCCCCCACCCTTAAGAAGGTTCTTTGTAATTCTCCCCACCCTTGAGAATGTACTTTGTGAGATCCACCCCTGCCCGCAAAATATTGCTCTTAACTTCACTGCCTATCCCAAAACCTATAAGAGCTAATGATAATCCACCACCCTTTGCTGACTCTCTTTTCGGACTCAGCCCGCCTGCACCCAGGTGATTAAAAGCTTTATTGCTCACACAAAGCCTGTTTAGTAGTCTCTTCACACAGACGTGCATGAAAAGTATAATATGCACTTTATAAACTAAGTAATATTAATTATTTTAATAAAACTTTAAAGACAACCTTGAACAGTGTTTTTAACACCTCAGGTTGTAATCTGTTCGTACATTAGGGAATCAGTTTATTGGGTTGGGAAAACTACTTAAAACATAGAATAGAGGCCAGGCACAGTGGCTAATGCCTATAATCCCAACACTTTGGGAGGCCAAAGCGGGTGGATCACCTGAGATCAGGAGTTCAAGACCAGCCTGGCCAACGTGATGAAACCCCATCTCTACTAAAAATACAAAAATTAGCCAGGTGTGGTGGTGGGCGCCTGTAATCCCAGCTACTTGGGAGGCTGAGACAGGAGAATCGCTTGAACCCAGGAGGCAGAGGTTGCAGCGAGCCGAGATTGCACCACTGCACTCCAGCCTGGACAACAGAGCACGACTCCATCACAACAACAACGACAACAAAAACATAGAATAGAATAGAAAATGAGTGAGTGGACATGGTAAAGGTAAGTGTTATTTTATGAGACTCATTTCAGTCCTACATGTCAACTGTACAACTGTATTACTGTGAAATTCGTTCCTATGGGTTGTGGTCCAAGTGTAAAGCCACTGTGTATCAGCATGACTGCAATACCAGTGATTGCCATTCGAGTGGATCTTGGTACCTGGCTGGTATCCACAGGGATGGGTGTGAAGGCAGCTTGCGTCAGGGAAACTGTGGGGCCCAGCAGGTCGCGTGTGTAAGTTCTTTCTTGCTTGTACTCTCGGCTGTGTTCCACTTTCAACTTTTCTTTTGGCAGAACAGCTTCATAACAAGGAGCATACCCAGGTGGAGGAAGAAATTTGAATTCTCCATGTCGCCCTCCAAGCAGAAAGCGTACTCTAAAGAGGATGCACGTTAGAGTCAATTTTATCTCTGGTGTACATTAAAGTTTTCTAATTCACAAAATCTTAGGGAAAAATTGTTAGTACAAAAGTATTTTATCAGAAGCCACATTTTCCCCTACGTACCATCATAATGTGATCACCTTAGAATTCAAGGGCCTCTAATTGTAAAAGGTAAAACATGAGGACATCATATTCATCAAAAGAGAAAACCTGCTTAAGTTAATTAATGGGTCAGTGAAGACATCACCTGCTGGAGAAGTAACCAAAAGCACATGCACCACATTCTTACGGGAATGAAGTGCATGTCCGTAATAACTGGTCACTTAAAGTCCCAAAGTACCGAAAGATAAAGAAAAGACCTGATCTAAATATCTATATGCTTAAAATTACAGGATTTAACAAGGAATGAGGGGAAAAACCAGTCACTTTTCTTTTCTTTTTTTTTTTTTAGATTCTTTTTTCACTTTCTTGGTCACTTTTCAATGTCCAATTTCCTAATGAAATTCTCTGAAGCAGGGGCCCCAACCCCCAGGCCACGACAGGTACCAGTCCGCGGCCTGTTAGGAACCAGGCTGCACAAGGGAGGAGGTGAGCTGTGTGGGCAAGAGAGCATTACCGCCTGAGCTCTGCCCCCTGTGAGATCAGCAGTGGCCTTAGATTTTCATAGGAGTGCGAACCCTATTGTGAACTGTGTCTGTGAGGGATCTGGGTTGCTCATTCCCTATGAGAATCGAACTAAGGCCTGATGATCTGAGCTGGAACAGTTTCATCCTGAAACCATCCCCACCTTCAACCCCAGCCCTGGCCCGTAGAAAAATTGTCTTCCACAAAAGCGGTGCCTAAGGCCAAAAAGGTTGGGGACTGCTGCTTTAAAGGAGATTCTGATGTCACTTCAACTTGAAGAAAGCAGGTAACCTTATCGCTAATTGTTTATCAATCTCAACAACGAAAAAGAACTTACTAAAATCTTTTATACATTCTGCTCATTTAAGCAAAACTATTTTAATCTGAGTTCCATTGAAAAACACTTTTTGAAACAGTTAAATGATATATATTTCCTGGGGCCCTCGGGTTTACAAAAATAAATTTAAATTTTTCATTTTCCTCGTAATTCTTTTTTTGTGTGTGTCAAGGTCTCACTCTGTTGTTCAGGCAGGGGTGCAGTGACACAGTCACAGGTTACTACAGCCTCCAGCTCCTGGGTTCAAGTGATCCTCCCAACTCAGCCTCCCGGGTAGCTAAGACTACAGGCATACAAAACTAGGTGCTAACTAAAGAAACAAAACAAAACAAAACAAAACTTTTGCAGAGATAGGGTCTCACTGTGTTGACCAGGCTGGTCACAAACTCCTGACCTTAAGCAATCCTTCCACCTCGGCCTCCCAAAGTGCTGGGATTACAGGTGCAAACTACTGCACCTGTCCATAATTCTTTTTCTAATTTGTGTATCAGGTCCAGTCCAAAAAAATAAAGAAAAGCAAAGAAAAGTGAGGAAAAATAAAAATGTTAAAACATTCCAGAAGCTTATAGAAACATAATTTGTATAAATACATCAGAAAAAGTAACTGGTACGTGGATAGCTAATATTCATGATTACTCTGTTTCTTCTTCAATATGATGCTTTTGTAACTAGGAATTATTCCTGGGAGAATTATAACTAAAAGAATAACTGAAACAAATGGAGTCCTTCTAAGTGTACAGGTGTGTGTGTGTATAAAAATAAGTGACAGAGTAGTTACTTATTATAACAGACCATCATTTATTAAAGTTTCATTTGCAGAACTACAATGGATTATCACTTTAATTTGTTTCCCTCTGGTAATAGCAAAAAAGGAAAGAGTGTGAGGAAACCATCTTGGCACCATTGACCATGGGCAGAGAATAAAGGAATAAAGAGAATAAAGGTGGAGAGGAACACTGAAGAAAGCCATCTGGGCCTCATCAACAAAAAGGATATTTAATTTCTATTGAAATAAGAGGGTGTGCAATGGGGTGAGGAACTATGTCTTAAAAAAGGAAAATGAATGAAAATATAAGAAAATAAGCAGTATTTTTTAAAACAGCCTTGCTCATTTCATCTAAATAAATGAACTAAAAAAAAAAAAAAAAACACCTTGAAATAGTTCAGGACCCTGGTTTGAGGGAGACTGCCCACATCTAAACACTGTGGGATCCGTAAACAAAGCATTCAGCCTTGCAGGATGCCCATCTTAGGTGAGGCTTACCTCCTCCTTCAAGGCACAGGCAAAATGCGCAGAGGACAGGTGCCCAGGAGAGACAAACAATGGTTAGAGAAGAAGGGCAATGGCAGTGCAGAGTCTTCTGTGGAGGTATGAGAAATGAGAAAGGAAAGAGACCAAAAAACATAGACATACTAACTTTATTCCTGCAGAGAAACTAACGACTGGAAAGAAGAGGCCATCGATGTTGAAATTCTCAAACATTCCTTGAACAGGTTGTCCATTAATTCGGAACGAGATGCTTGGGGCACTCAGATCTAAACAGCAACTGATGACATCATCAGTTCTTAACAGATGTTGGTTTGGTGAGCTTACAGTACGAGCAATACAACCTATTGGGGGGAAAACATTAAGGAAGGTCATGTATTTTTTTATCTCAGAGAATCAGCTTCAGAGCCAAAGTCAAAAGATTTGAATAAGTAGTGACAAACCAATGCACAACATCAGAAGGAATAAATCTTGAATGTAAACGCATGTTACATGTTAAACTCTTTGTCAAAAAAATAAAAAGATTATTTCAGGAGTCAGGCTGCTACTTATGTTGTAAAATGGACCTTCTGATACACAGAAACTTCTGCATGTAGACGGATGGCAACTGATCCAGAAATTATCTATGAGCAGATTATATAATGATGTCAAAGGAACATCTCCAGGGACTTCAAATAGCTACCTTACCATCTACTACTTGTAAGACCATAACCAAATTACTTAACCTCTCTTAATTTGGATGTCTTATAAACAGAACACCAAGTACCATCACCTTGTTTAGTTATTTTGACGATTAATGTTTTACAAGTAACAGAGTCTCAGGCACAGCAGGTACTTCATGTCAGTCCCTTTTTCAAATGCTAAACTCCCTTCATTCTATCAATTTAAAATAAAAATACATAAAGATAACGAAAGCAGAAAATATGATCATTCATTCCTGCAGCACGTTGCTTATTGTGAGACAACTATAGGCCAATTGGCCTATAGTTTTTCATTTATTTCACACAAGATCTTGGTTGGCTTCTTAAGTAAAGCAGGATATAACTGGAGGTGTGAAAATGATATTGGATAAATGTTATTTATTGCCCCGGCAAGACCAACCTATGGTCTAAGCCCATTCCTGATTCGAAGAACTCCTTTGCTAATTCGTCCCGAGAGCATCTGCTTCTCACTGCACAATGAAAGAAAAGAAGGTAAGGTTCTCCCAAACACACATGCTCATAAACATAAACAAAACCTTCAACTTGAGCAAAGACAAAAATAGACTTTGTGATACATGCTTTGTATTTTTAATAATTCTTTTTATTTCTAGCATGCCAATATCTCTACCAAGGACATATCTGAAATGCCAGTAGTAGAGAATACCTATTTTTTTTTTAATGTGGACACTTTCTATTTTACCAATATTCAAATCCACAGGCAATAAATTCACTATCAAGTGTCTCTTCTAGAATTCCCTGAATATAATAAAGGCAGCTTTTTAAAAAAGTCATATAAAAGCAATGCAGAAAAAGGTCTAGTTTCTTGTTTGTACCATGATCTGTAGCTAATAGCGATGTTATTTACACGATATCTATTATAATCAAATATATTTTTCACTTGGAGGGATACGATAGCTTTATAGACCCTCTATTAGAAACCTGTACCCATCTTTCCTGTACATTCCTCCACACTACTTCTATATTTAAATTCTCTCAAAGCACCAAGATTTTTTTATACTTTTGGTCCTCTCAAACACCTGGGACCTGGATTCCCAAAATCCAGTTCTGCATTGACAGAGAGGAAGTGTAGCAACACCGCAAAGTTTAAATTGAAGAGAAGAAATGAAGACATAGCTAAAAACTTTTGCTTATGAGCCCAATCCTTGTTCCGAGAAATACTGCCACTCTCCAATTACAAAATGTTAAGTGGCAGAGAAGGTGCTCTATCCTGGAAATCACTGATATTTGATACTTCAAATTGTACATCAACCATTAAGAAGAAAACAGGAGAACGACCCCCAAGAAGGTTATCTGTTACTATGAATTCGAGCTTCATAACTCACATTCCAACTAATTTAGATTTGTCTTCATTAATTACGAATCTAAAATCAGCAAAGCATTTAATAGACTCCCAGTGGCTTAAGAGAAAATACTTTTCAACTGTAGGCCTGATATGATACGTATTTTCTTGCCATTTAAAAAAAATGAATAAAATTTCAAGATGCTTTTCTCCTGAAATTCCACTGCCTATCGTCCTTTCTGGTACATGTCCACAGATTCACTAAATTTTTTTTTGTTGTTCTTATTGTTCTACTGAACAGATACTTTGTAATAAAAGGTATAACGCATACAATTCAATTCCATAAGAACCAGGTACTTTTAATGTATCGAAAGAAAAAGCTTCAAATTGAATACAAAACAAAAATAGTAAAATATGTTATTGTATGGAGAGACTAAATGAAAGCAACTTGGCATTGTCGATCAATGTTTTTTTTTTTTCATCTAATCTCTGTGTAATGGGAAAACAAGTCCACGTGCTTCATTTATTCATTTGAGTACTTATTTCCTGCAGAGCAATACTAGGAGCTAGGGAGAGAGGGGGTAATAGTATCTAAAGGATTATAGTTCAAATGTTTTATAACATGGACTTTAGCCCTATTTTGTGTTTAATAGGTCTTCTGAAGTTAGGGCTCTTTCTCTCTGCTTGGTCAGCAGGACAATTTTCCTGTGGGAACAAGGCACTGTGACTATGGTCTGGCTGGCACAGGTCGCCTTTGTACAAAGCAGTCTACAGTACTGTGAGGACTCCAACCACATTCCTCAGAGGTTAGATGAAATATGCAAAACACAGCTTCAACCCCATAAATATATATATACCTTTTATGTACTCACAAAAATTAAAAATTGAGGCTGGGTACGGTGGCTCACACTTGTAATCCCAGCACTTTGGGAAGCGGAGGCAGGCAGATCACTTGAGACCAGGAATTCAAGATGAGCCTGGCCAGCATGGTGAAACCCCGACTCTACTAAAATATATATAAAAATTAGCCGGGCATGGTGGTGCAAGCCTGTTAGTCTCAGCTACTCAGGAGGCTGAGGCATGAGAATCGCTTGAACCCGGGAGGCAGAGGCTGCAATGAGCCAAGATTGCACCACTGCACTCCAGCCTGGGCAACAGAGCAAGACTCTGTCTCGAAAAAAAAAAATTAAAAATTCACAAAAAATCAAAATACAGCTTCCTCTCGTCTAGACAACTGAGCTATTGGCACTCAATGAAGAAAGAATTCAGTAAGTATCATTGTTAGATACAACTACATGGAATGCTTTTAGATATAAACTCATTAGCATAAAATCTTAGGTGTAGTTCAACTTATTTCTTATTTTTCATAAGTTTTAGGCCCATAAAGCATTCATAAATGTCTATCATTTGTACTCCACATGAGGCAAAGTTCAGCTTTATAACTTAAGGTAACTTTCTGCATCTTCCATATGCTAAATAATTTATAAACTATGCCAAGATCATACCAGGACTATATTCCAAATGCAGCTTTATTAATATAAGCTTATGTCTGCAGAATCCAGATGAATTTTAACATCTAAAAAATCTACATAATCAAGAGCTAAGCTTTTAAATGGAGCTAACCAAACTCTACTTCTTCATGAATCAGAGAAAAGAATATTATTTTTTAATATAAAGTATTCATTTTTAATATATACTCAACCATCAAAGCTAAGAGTTGGTAGCTGGTGAAATGACCTATTCCTTTATTTTTAAACCATTTTATACTTCTGAAACAAAGTGTCATTTGTTATGATCTGAGTCCTCATACCACACTTTACAAATTATTGATTTCCCACCATTACATTATCTAACAGAAGGCTGAACTTAGTCTATTTCTTCCCATTATTTTCCAAGATTTGTTTTTTGTTCTTTTATGTTGGCAACTAAAGCTTTAAACATACCAATTAAAGCAGAAAACTCACAAGTTTCTTGCAGTTCATTCATGCTTCGGAATGCACTCTTTAAATACACAGTATTGTTCCTAAGCAATACACTCTTATTTAAATCTACTCTTTAAATACACAGCATTGTTCACAAGCTCGGCAGTCCCTTGGAAATGTACTATAATTTTAAGTATTTTCTTTTTCCCCTAGTGAAATACTGCTTGTTCCTCAACACTCTTACTCATCATCTCAATGCTAAATTTCTGAATAATTAATACCCTATAGAAGTACCTAATGGAAGCAGCACCAATAGCTTTCAGAAATGCCCAGCAAAAGATCTTCTGGAACACGGTGAAAGAAAATGGATAGTACGTACCTGACCAGAGATGAAGGCCATCAAATCCATAGGAGAAGAGATCATCTCCAACACCATTTCCACCCCACTCTTCGCCCCCTCCAGGGTAGGGAGAATATCCTTCAGTGGAAGCCCAGCCCACTCGCAGGTGAGTTGCTTCAGCTGTCACAAAGGGCTCTGTGTGGTCCACCATCAATTCATAGTACCATTTCTTATACTGAGCAGAACCTTCACTGACGCCCAGAAAAATATTGGGTCTCATGCTTTAAAGAGACGGGAATCACATGTAAGGAAAGTCCAAAAAAACCTTTCATTGTTTTCATTTACATCTCACAATTTCACTTGTGTATTTCATTTAATTTTATTGAGACAGAGTCTTGCTCTGTTGCCTAGGCTGAAGCGCAGTAGTGCAATCATAGTTTATTGCAGCCACCATCTCCCAGGCTCAAGGAATCCTCCCACCTCAGCCTCCTGAATAACTGGCACTAAAGGCGAGTGCCACCACGCCCAACTAATTTTCTTTTTTATTTTTAGTAGAGATGAGATCTTGCTATGTTGCCCAGGATGGTATCAAACTTCTGAGCTCAAGTGATCCTCCTGCCTCGACCTCCCAAGTGCTGGAATAACAGGCATGAGCCACCGTGCCCAGCCACATCTCACTATTTTAAACATTAGTCATGCTTCTCTAAGATGCCACATATTAAATATATATTTCCTTAATTACTAAAAAATTATTAAAACTACCACTGAGGTAGTACACAGAGAAAGCCAGCTTCACTGTGAACATTCCATCAGCAGTTTTGCTTCTGAGATTTCTTGGCAGTGTCACCCAAGGAACTAATGTTATTTTGTCTTAATTCCTCTTCAGCATGTTGTGTATCATTAATCATATTTATGTCATAAACTGAGACACTCAGAGCAGACTTTTAGAATTAATGGAGTTATTGGGAATTCCGGACATGGAGAAATTTTCCTAAGCTAAGCTTTGTGTCACATGGGGCATGGGGCTGAGGTAGGTCATGTTGTTTATGAAGGAACCAAGGTGATTAATAAGCTTTGTTGTTCATTATGCCTCACTGTGAACAGAAAAAATACAACAGTAAGTTGTATTTAATTCCATTTTAGGAGTGGACATATACCCTATGGTAATACTAGGTAGAAATGAATGAAGGTCTCAGAACATATCACTCATAAACGGCAGGTCTGTTATATAAAGAATCATGAAGGAAATCTTAAATCAATACTGTAAAACAAACAAACAAACAAAAACATAGAAGGTGCTTGGACTTTGCTTCCTAGCTCAGCAGAGGTAACATAATTTAATATGTAATTGATTTATTTTAAAAAGGAGCTCCTCAAAAGGAGCGAAAGAAAAAAACCAGCTGTATCCATTTCCTAACAATTTCCATTTTTCCAGCACAGTGTGGTTGGAAGTACAGTTGGAAGACCATGGGTTTCCGAGTCAAGAGAGAAAATTTGAGCATCCATTTGCTAGCTCTGTGACCCGGCACTAGTTATGAAACCTTGCTCATCCTCCATTTATCCTCCTGGAAAATGGACTGGTAAACATCTATAAATTTAAGCATCTTGTGAGGATTGAATAATAGAATAAATGTAAAGTCTTTGCCCTAGAGTGAATATGCAATAAGTATATATGTATATTATATATTTTTAAAAAACACATTAGCTGGGTGCAGTGGCTCACACCTGTAATCCCAGCACTTTGGGAGGCTAAGGCGGGCGGATCACAAGGTCAGGAGTTCGAGACCAGGCTGGCCAACATGGTGAAACCCCGTCTCTACTAAAAATACAAAAATTAGCTGGGTGTGGTGGTGTGCACCTGTAATCCCAGCTACTCAGGAGGCTGAGGCAGGAGAATGGCTTGAACCCAGGAGGCAGAGATTGCAGTGAGCTGAGACCATGCCACTTCACTCCAGCCTGGGTGACAGAGCAAGACTCTGTCTCAAAAAACAAAACACATCATAGAAATACACAACAAACCCCACATTTCTGTTTAAAACAGGAGGAAGTTATCAGTTTCTCCAGGCTAGCTGCTAGATACAGTATGTCAATGTTACTACTATCACACACAGCGTTTTGTTGATTGTAAGCCGTTATTTCTTATCATTTATTTATGTGTTCATTTGAGGGATGTGATGGTTCATACTGAGTGTCAACTTGATTGGATTGAAGGATGCAAAGTATTGTTCCTGGGTGTGTCTGTGAGGGGGTTGCCAAACGAGATTAACATTTGAGTCAGTGGGCTGGGAGAGGCCGACCCATCCTCAATCTGGGTGGGCACCATCTAATCAGCTGCCAGCACAGCTAGAATAAAAGCAGACAGAGGGACGCAGAAAGACTAGACTGGTTGAGTTTTCCATCCTTCATCTTTCTCCCGTGCTGGGTGCTTTCTGCCCTTGAACATTGGACTCCCAAGTTCTTCAGCTTTTGGACTCTTGGACTTAGCAGTGGTTTGCCAGGGGCTCTCGGGCCTTCAGCCACAGGCTGAAGGCTGCACTTCTGGCCTCCCTACTTTTGAGGTTTTGGGACTCAGACGGGCGTCCTTGTTCCTCAGCTTGCAGACGGCTTTTTGTGGGACTTCACCTGGTGATCATGTGAGTCAATGCTCCTTAATAAACTCCCTTTCATATATACAGCTATCCTATTCGCCCTGTGCCTCTAGAGAAGCCTGACTAATACAGGGGATAAGAAAGGCAGTGTGGCGCGGTGGTTATAAGCTCAGTCTCTGGATTTAGATCTAAGTTCCACTTCCAGTTCCAGTTTTTTCGTCTATAAAATGTGAATCATCATGGTTCCTAGGAAAGCACAGACACAAACAGTAGAGAATACACGTAAAGCCCTTAGCGCCACAGCTGGCACATGGTATTCAATGAACGTTAGGTGCCTTGGAAGGCAGATCTAACTGAAGATGTAGTTTTATTGGTTATTTGCATAATTTATTACATTTTGGACATTCTATTTTTGATTGCACATAGCAGGTACCTCAAAATGATATTGAAGGGGCTGGGCGCAGTGGCTCACGCCTGTAATCCCAGCATTTTGGGAGGCCAAGGCGGGCAGATCACGAGGTCAGGAGTTCGAGACCATCCTGGCTAACACGGTGAAACCCTGTCTCTACTAAAAATACAAAAAATTAGCCAGGCGTGGTGGCGGGCACCTGTAGTCCCAGCTACTCGGGAGGCTGAGGCAGGACAATGGCCTGAACCCGGGAGGTGGAGCTTGCAGTGAGCCGAGATCGTGCCACTGCACTCCAGCCTGGGCGACAGAGCGAGACTCTGTCTTAAAAAAAAAGAAAAAAACAATGATATTGAAGGATAGTGTTTTTAGTTACATTCTAAGAAGATGTAAAGTACAATTATATACAACCATATACCTATACAGTTGTCAGGGTGGTCCTGAAGATGCCAATGGTTATGTATCTACATAGGAATGTGAATAAAAGCTCTTATACATGTGTTTGCGGCAAATCCATATTTTGCTAGGTTCATTTATTATTAGCCCATCTGATTGTTAGAGAAAAAGACATATTATTCACTGCAAAAATACAGAAAATAATACTATATGGTCTAATTTAAAAAACAGACCATATAGTATCAGCTACAGGGCAAGAACATTAATTCTTTTATTATGGTACCTGTCAGGTGACATTGTCTGTCTGAATTTACCTGCTGACATGGTTCACAAGACGTGTCTGCAATAACAAGTCTCTTCCTGGTAGGAGATTGTCACAGATGAGATGCTGGTTAGAACGGACTGCAACCCCGTGGCAAACACAGAGTGAGCACAAGACATCCAGAACCTGAAAAGAGAAATTACTTTCAGCTGATCCTCCCTCCCTCCCTGCTTTCCCTCCCTCCCTCCCTCCCTTCCTTCCTTCCCTTCTTCCTTCCTTCCTTCCTTCCTTCCTTCCTTCCTTCCTTCCTTCCTTTCAGACAGCATCTCACTCTGTCACCCAGGCTGAAGTGCAGTGATGCGATCATAGCTCACTGCAGACTTGAACTCCTGGGCACAAAGAATCCTCCTACCTCAGCCTCTGTAGGTGCATGCCACCACATCTGGCTAATTTTCTTTTTTTGTAAAGACAGGGTATTGCTATATTACCCAGGCTGGTCTCAAACTCCTGGCCTCAAGCAACCCTCCCATCTTGGCTTCCCCAATTACTGCAATGACAGGCATGAGCCACTGGGTGCAGTCACTGTCAGCTGATTCGAATTCCCCCTTCAGAATCAAGCATCAGCAGCACTTTTTTACAAAGCAAATGCATTCCTCCAGTTACATTTGACTCAGTTATTTAAACATTACAGTAGTTTCCCACTAATTTTCCAACTTTTCTTCATATATAAATTGAGAACTGTTCATGTTCCCACTGATGCTATGAATAAACACTAAAAAATATTACTTGATCATGATTAAGAGATGAAGCCCAGGCGCGGTGGCTCATGCCTGTAATCCCAGAATTTTGGGAGGCCAAGGCAGGTGGATCACCTGAGGTCAGGAGCTCAAGACCAGCCTGACCAATATGGTAAAACCCTGTCTCTACTAAAAATACAAAAATTAGCCGGGCATGGTGGCATGCACCTGTAGTCCCAGCTACTTGAGAGGCTGAGACAGGAGAATGCTTGAACCCTAGAGGCGGAGGTTGCAGTGGGCTGAGATCGCGCCACTGCACTCCAGCCTGGGCGACAGAGCTCGACTGCATCTCAAAAAATAATTAAGAGATTAAAAACACTCATGAAAAATTTGACACACTTTTTAAAAGTTATTGTATTTAAAAATATATCTAAAAGGATTTGAGAATTCATTCAGGGAAATAAAATAGTTCATTTACCTTGTGATTTCTTCCATGTTTGTCTAAAAGTGAGATAATAGATTTAATATGTCCTTCTTTAATAATATTTAGAGCTTCTGGACTTTCTACTAAAACACAGTGTAAAACTTCCAGAATGCCTAAAGATAAAACAAAGAAAGAGGAAAAAAAACACATGATTAATTGGTGTACAATGACCAGTGTCTTCCTTTTTCTACATAGGTGCATTCAGTACAACATGTAATTATCTGTGCTCAATGTGACTGTTACAAGGCACTGTGATAGGTGACAGGTGGTGTTTGGGAGAGGGGACTAATATCCAAAGATGAAGACATCACAGTTGAGGGAAGAAAAGGCAAACAACTGAGACGTGGTGTTTAGCAGAGGAAGCCGGTAACGCTACCCGAAGGAGGGCGTACACGAAGCAACACAGAGGTGGGGCCTTAAAGAATACGTTCATGACCATTTTCAGGCTTTCCAGGAAAGGAAGGGCAGTATGTGCATGAGTAAAGTCTTGAACGTGGGGCATATCTGGTGTGCCTCATGTACAGAGTGAGTGGGGGAGGGGACAGGTGGGTTAGGGCCAGTTTATGAAGCTTCTTGGCACTGAAAGTGTAATCCTGCAACAGTGCATCCCAATCCATGGAGATCATGACATTCTCCTTGAGGTTTATAGTACACAAGATTTCTTAGTTTGTTAAATAAGAGAAATATGTAAAATAAGACATAAATAAACAGAAATAACACAATGTATAAAACGGGATTAAAAATCGTGGTATTTTTAGGTACTAGCCACCACAAAATATAAAATAGTATATGCCTTTTCTTGAAGTTTAAAAAGGAAAGAAGAGAAAATAAATTTCATTATCAGAAATTTTAGCATGAACTTGTAAAGCTAAATGTGTACCTCTGTGTTCATGTTTTCTGAACAAGCTTGCCTTGTCAACAATGAGAATGGGTCCCATTCACACCAATTAGACCCAACATACAGAAAACATCACCTCTAAGAGTTACATAGTATTGGGAAGGGCCCCAGAGGAACCCTGTGGAAAGGGTCATACATCTCAAATGGAGTTAATATTCTTAGAAAAGAAATACAAAGTTTTACATTTACAAAGGTATCATAGAATACAGAGGCAATTCTCTATGGCTGTCACAATCTATATTTGATCCAAGCCCCAATCCATTACAAAACGAGGACTGTTAATGCTAATTTCTTCACTAATGACTTAGTTTGTTAAAACACAAATATATATTCAGCCAAAAGGATTTTGAGTTACATTTTGGAGCTGTTCAAAATCAGCTGCTGTGTTCCAACAATGCATAACAGTTAAAAATCAAAGACAACAGAAACTAATGCTACAAGAGGCTGACGAGTTAAAGCAGATCTTTATATAAGTATACTAAAACTGAATACCTTTTTTTTTTGCTATTACTAAAAACGTAGAAACAAAATAAACTCATTCATTCTGTGCTAAAATAAAATCATGGAAATGGAAAAGCATTTTTAATAGACTGGTCATGCTATCCCGATGTTTTTGTTTGTTTTCTCCCCATTATTGATTGCTATAGAGCACACGGCTGCCTTTTTATAAAAAATAATTTCAACTTTTATTTTCGATTCAAGGGATACATGGGCAGGTTTGTTACATGGATATATTGCATAATGCTGAGGTTTGCAGTACAATTGATCCCATCAACCAGGTAGTGAGCAAAGCCCAACCAATAGGTAATTTTTCAACCCTTGTTCGATCCCCCTTCCTCCCACTTAGTAGTGGCTAGTCTATTGTTGCTATCTTTATGTCCATGAGTACCCCTTGTTTAGCTCCCACTATAAGTGATAATACGCTGTATGTGGTTTTCTGTTCCTGCATTAATTTGCTTAGGATAACAACCTCCAGTTGCATCCATGTTGCTGTAAAGGACATGATGTCAATCTTATTATGGCTGCGTGGTATTCTATGGTGTATATGTACCACATTTTCTTTATCCAATCCGTAGTATTTCATGACGCATAGGTACCACATTTTCTTTATGCAGTTTACTGTGGATGGGTACCTAGATTGATGACATGTCTTTGCTCTTGTGAATAGTGATGCCACGAACATTTAAGTGCATGTGTCTTTTCGGTAAAACAATTAATTTTCTTTCAGATATATACCCAGTAATAGGCTTCCTGGGTCAAATGGTAGTTCTCTGTTAAGTTTTTTGATAAATCTCCAAACTGCTTTCCACAGTGGCTGAACTAATTTACATTCCCACCAACAATATAAGCCT
The DNA here is from genome assembly GCF_000001405.40 of Homo sapiens. Taxonomy (NCBI): domain Eukaryota; kingdom Metazoa; phylum Chordata; class Mammalia; order Primates; family Hominidae; genus Homo; species Homo sapiens. The sequence continues at coordinate 237,489,668 of NC_000001.11, read as the reverse complement.
TTTTTCTTTTTGAGATGGAGTTTCGCTTTTGTTACCCAGGCTGGAATGCAATGGCACAATTTCACTTCACTGCAACCTCTACCACCCGGGTTCAAGCAACTCTCCTGCCTCAGCCTCTGGAGTAGCTGGGATTATGGGCACCCACCGCCATGCCCAGGCAATTTTTGTATTTTTAGTAGAGATGGGGTTTCACCATGTTGGCCAGGCTGGTCTCGAACTCCTGATCTCAGGCGATCCGCCCACCTTGGTCTCCTAAAGTGCTGGGATTACAGGTGTGAGCCACCGTGCCCAGCCTGACTTTTTAACAATAGCCAAGTGTGACTGGTATGAGATGGTATCTCATTGTAGTTCTGATTTGCATTTCTCTCTGGTGATTGGAGATGTGGGTAGACTATTTTTCATATGTTTGTTGGCTGCTTGTCTGTCTTCTTTTGAGAAGTGTCTGTTCAAGTCTTTTGACAATTTTTTAATGGGGTTATTTGGCTTTTGCTCGTTGGGTTATTTAAGTTCCTTATAGATTCTGGATATGAGACCCTTGTCAGACGCATACTGCCTATTTTTATAAATAAAATTTTATTGTGTATTCTATGCACCTGCATTTACATACTGTCTATGGCTGCTTTCACACTACAAAGGCAGGGTTGAGTGATTCTAACAGACCTCATGGTCCACGCGGCCTGTAATAGTAACTATCTGGCTGCTATGGTCTGAATGTTTTCGTCTCTCCAAAATTGATATGTTGAAATCCTAACCCCCAAGGCAATGGTTGTCACGCGCGTCCGTGAGAAGAGTCCACCAACAGGCTTTGTGTGAGCAACAAGGCTGTTTATTTCACCTGAGTGCAGGCGGGCTGAGTCTGAAAAAGGAGTCAGCGAAGGATGGTGGGATTATCATTAGTTCTTATAGGTTTGGGGTAGGTGTACAAAGTACATTCTTAAGGGCGGGGGAGAATATTACAAAGTACCTTCTTAAGGGTGGGGGAGAATATATGTATCAGTTAGGGTGGGACAGGAGCAAATCACAATGGTGGAATGTCATCGGTTAAGGCTATTTTCACTTCCTTTGTGGATCTTCAGTTGCTTCAGGCCATGTGGATGTACACGTGCAGGTCACAGTGTACATCCAGCCTTTGGGCTCAAAGGCCTGACAATGGTATTAGGAGATGTTCCCCTTGGGGAGGTGATTAGGTCATGAAGGTAGAGCCCTTAAGAATGGGATTAGTGCCTTTATAAAGGAGGCCCCAAGGGAGCTTGCTGTCCCTTCCACCATGTGAGGACGAACTTTCTTTGAGAAAGGAGGCCCTCAGGATGCCATATCTGCAGGAGCCTTGATCTTGGACTTCCCAGAATCTAGAACTGTGAGAAATACATTTCTGTTGTTTATAAATCACCCAGTTTGTGATATTTTGCTACAACAGTCCTACTTGACTAAGACACTAGCCTTTTTCAGAAAAAGATTGCCAATCGTGGAATACAATATAACCATTAAGAAAAAAGACCAAGAAGTTAAGACGAAGACCAATAAATTTTCGTGCTAAAATAAACACTCATGAAGGCCCATAGAGTGAATAAACTGAATATATTAGAAAAGATATGACCAGATTTTGGAAGTAAATAGCGTATGTCACAAAGTGCAAAAATGGCTATATGAAAACAAATCCCCGATTTTTCTCCTATTTAGCCTAGTCTAATAGAAAGCTTTCAGAATTTGGGGTTTAACATTAAAACAGTTTCTTTGTTTTTCAATTCTATCAGGTCAGATCCAATAAATAAATAGTTGAAAAACATTGACAGCTTCTAATTCTATTAATTATAACAATAAAGTCAGAGAAAACACGTTTTATTTTCAATTTTATTGGAATAAACTGAAATATGCAGGCATATTAGATGGCCAATACCTCAAGAATAACCCTGGTTTATTGGAATAATTTTTTTTTGAGATAGGATCTTGCTTAGTTGCCCAGGCTGGAGAGCATTGGCACGATTATAGCTCACTGCAGCCTCAAGCTCTTGGGCTTAAGCAATCCTCCCACCTTAGCCTCCCGTAGCCTCCTGAGTGGCTGGGACTATAGGTGCATGCCACCATGCTGAGCTTTTTTTTTTTTTTTTTTTTGTAGAGACGGGGGTGGTCTCATTATGTTGCCCAGACTGGTCTTGAACTCCTGGGCTCAAGCAATCCTCCCACCAGCCTCCCAAAGTGCTGAAATTATAGTTGCGAGACACAGCACCCAGCCTGAAATAAATTTGATTTTTAATTTTATTGAAATAAACAGCAAATGTGCTTTTGTATAATAAAAAATTCTTAAAGGACAACAAATGAGAAACACCAAAGAGTCCATTTTTAAATAAAAAAAGGAATAGGTATACAATATTATGCGTATATTTAAATTATGCTGATATATGCTTTGAACACTTGGATGAAAAATGATGCAGAGAAACAGTGCTTAATGAAGATTATAATATCAATAGTTACAATCATTTGACCACTAAATTCTAAATACATTCAATAAGACCAAGAAATAGCTATAGTCGTGAAGCTTATGGTTAGATTCTCAAATTTAAAAGCTTGGCAGATCATAACAGTATTATGGAATGAAAGAATTATAAATATACTACAAATTACTTAAAAAAATTTCAACTAACTACAACTAATAATGCAAAACAATTGAATTTTATGTTTTAATAAGTTTATAGAAATGATTTGAGAGAACCTTTTAACATCATAGAAATATATAATAATCAATGTAACTTTTTAAGAGTAGATCCAAAATAACATATAGATTATAATTGCAACTATGTAAAATATATTCATTTGTATAAAATACATATTTTAAAAAAGACCAGAAGTTATTACCTAAAAAGGTTAGTCTTGGTTATTGCTGGATTTGTATACTTCTCTCCCAATATTTCATAAATTCTGTGAAATGAGCATGCATAACTTTTATAGTAAGAAACGTATTTTAAAAGAATCATAAAACAATAGGAAGTAATGTCTACTTACATTTTATTTCTGCCACTAAATCTCAATACTTAGTCAATTCATGCAACTTAATGAGGCCTGACAACAAAAGGCCAGTAACATTAGCTGCCTTTCCTCTCTACAGTATATAACTATAATTAACTTTTAATCTATGGAGTCTTTTAAGTCTTATACTTCATCCAAGTTATATAAACTTATTTTCATTCCATAAGTTTGGAATAAGCATAAACAAAAGCTACCAGTTGCTACACAGAGAACACACAAATTACAGTACTGAGAGTTTATACTAGAATTAAGTATTGTACAGCAATAAACTAGGGTTGGTCTCAGGGTACTGGCCATTTAACATGCATGATTTACCTTAGTAGTGAGGAGTTACAAGAACTTAGGTTGACTATTCCAAGTTGATTTCAAATATCATCTCCTAATTATCTTCTGGACATTTCAATGAGAATGTCTCTAAGTACCCCCAACTAACTTTTTCAAAAGCTGAACATAACACCTTTCTTTGTACGTATATATGTAAAATTGCTTCTCTCATCCATCGTGCATCCATATATTCAAGCTAAAAACCTGAAGTCATTTTTGAATCCTCTTTCACTTTCTCATTTTCCTAAATCTAATTGTTAAAATTCATTAATCCTGTGTCCAAATTTATCTCCTAAACTCATCCTCTCCTTTCACTGAATAGCCTCTTACTATATCCTCTCCTCCAGTTTCTCCTCCCTCCCCAACCCATCCTCCAAACTGTAGGTGGTTATGCTGAAACACACATTTAATCAATGTCACTCCCTTGCTTAAAATCTTTAATGGCTTCCCAGACCTTCCAAGGTCAAAGTCCACTCCCCTTAGCATAGAATATCAGTCCCTAAACCAGATAGTGCAACCTTCCTTTGCAGCCTCAATTCCTGCCGCTTCCTCCCACAAACAACAATTAATATGTATACCTACATATGAATCATATATATTTATTAAGCACCTACCAGGCACTGTTCCAAGGAATGGGATCAGCAGTGAACCAGACAGGCAAGGCCCTCTTGAAACTTATAGGAACTTGCCCACCTTCAATCCTTTGCTGATGTTATTCTCAGATCTAAATACACTCCCACCGTCTAAGACTGCAAAATCTCAATCAGCTTGCAAAGGTTGAAAGTTACCTCATTTGGTGAGTCTTTACCAATGCCCTGAGATGAATTAATTATTCCTCCTTTTGTAGTAACAAGCACATTCACATTTTTAAAATTCTCATTTCAATCCCCCATTACAGAACGAGCCCTTGAGAGCAGATATTGATTTAATTTTGCCTCCTTGTCACCCAGCTCACTCTGACCCAGGGAAGGTCATCTCGTGTTTGCCAAATGAATAAGTGAATGAATATAAATGGACTGTTGGTTCTCACATTCTGTTTAAACAAAATAAATCTGCCATTTATTTATTTACTCATAACAAGATTCATAATTGTTAAGTGTAAATAGAATAACTGAAATACTTTATATCTGGAGAATTTCATTTAAAACCGTTATTATTTTAAATGTAGAAAAGACAGAGGACACAACATAGGGAATTTATATTTCTTAGTGCTAGGATTTCCTTATCTGTGTTTCAATTTGAGGAAAAATTTTACTTGGTGAATTCGGCAAATTTCTGTGCTGTTTGTTTGTAGAACACAAAATTGAGGCTGCAGGCACTGCATGTTTAATACGTGCAAATATTTAGCCATTTGCCTTAAAACTTTTATGGTTGTAACTGTGAATTATTTATGTTCTCCCGAGAAAGGAAAATCTCCAAGGATGTAACTAAATGTCTAGAAATAACTTAATGGTATTGGGAGCTGTGGCCAAGTGCTGTGATGGGTAGAGAATATTCCTTATCATGTTTTTTGTAACCAAAAAAAAGTGGTCCTGTTTGCTTTTTACTGATAGACTTAGACTTTTGTTACTTGACTTACAAATCTGTAGGAACTTCATTAGAGATCAAAGTTGACTTTGCTATTGTATATTCACAGGTCACAACTCAGGCTGTCTGAGGTTGAACAAAATTTGTTGAGAATCTGTATAGAAAAACTAGAAACAAGCCACAGGGCAAGAGTGCTCTACGTAGGCTGACTTTACCTACCAAGAAGAATCTAGCCTGGGGATTTTGCCCCATCGCAAGTAGGCATAAGCTTACATTTGGGAGAAGAAGTGAATGGAATTAGACTGGTAGCCACACAGGCACAGGAGGCCAACGTGGGGACAAAGCAAGCCATGACGCTGGTGCTCCCATGATCACTGCAGAAAGCCCAGGAAAACCACAGACTTAGAAACCACCATGCCCCACCCCCCATGGTACTGTTTCTCATCTATGGTTACAACTGTTTTGCAAAAATAAAACACAGTCAAAATCATCCCAGAACACCAAGATGTATGTGGATTTAGATGGAACCTAGTTCTCTATTCATGAAGGATACAGGAGTGTGATTCTGCTCTGGGAGAAGGAAAGTCTCTCTTCCACCTCTATTTCAAGTAGGAGTAATAATACTGGACAAAAGATTACTCCAGAAGGAGCACCTGGCCCCACCTGAAAATCATGACATGGAAACCCTTTCGTCTAAGCTAGAGGTAGGCAAACAGGAAGACTCCGGCTGAGTGCTAATTAGTAGGAATTGAACTGCCCCATGTAAAGGAAACAGTGGAGATACAGTGCCAGTCAAACAGTTTGGCGGTGTCCACAGCAGATCAGCGAAAGAAGTCACAATCAGAGACCCAGTGAATTAATTACAAATTATTCAAACCACAGGTATTTGTTTGGGGATTTTTTTCCCTCCTACCTGGGAGTCGAAACCTGTTAGAGCTTTTTTGGTCAGAACCTTTTTATTAATATCTCCAGATTTCACTGACATTTCACTGAAAGTAGGAAAATTTGTCTTTTAGCTCTGAGTAATTAAATAAAGTGACATAACGAGTAAAAAGATGGGGAAGTAAACTGGGAAATGACTAGAAAGAACAGGGAAACACACAGAACATGAACGACATTTGCATTCCTAAATGAAATAACTTAGGGATGTGACAGACCATCATCCTTTCAGAAGAGTAACTGATTGGCAGTCTTGGTATTTACAAAATTTAATGGGGAAATATCATAGTAAGAGGTATCATTATTATTCTATTGTATTATATACTGGTGATAAGCATGGATGTAAGCCGATGTGCCTAGTTTTGTGTCCTTGCAGGTTTTTAGCAAACTATTTAACATCTCTGTGCTCCAGTGTCCACCTCTATGAAATGGATGTAATAATGGTGCCTGGGAGAGGAGAAATTGTTATGAATAGCAATACATGTAAGACATTTAGAACAGAGCTTGGATCAAAGCAACGTGATGTAAGTATTTGCTATTATTTTATGGTTGAAATAAAATAAGGCAAATGAAACAAAGATCAACAGGGAAGAATTACCAATATGCTCCTTTGTGGAGCAGTGATGATAGTCGTAAGAGGTAGAGAAATGCTGAATGGACAACACTGATCAGAGGAGAATTCAGGGGAGATATCTATGAATCAGCATGAAGACATGGAATCAAAGTTAGTTTGATTCAAATAAAATCAGGTAAATTAGTAAATCAGGAGAAATTAAACCAGCCTGTTAGACCTTGGCGAGAGACACAGCGAGGCACAGAGAAACAAGGAGGGCAAGTGGGCAGAACCACAGAAAGTTTTGCATTCTTGAGATTACAGGAGAGCTGAGTCAAAAATGCAGTGAAGGATCATCAGAGAAATGCAAATCAAAACTATAATGAGATATCATTGCACTCCAGTTACAATGGCTTACATCCAAAAGACAGGCAATAACAAATGCTGGCAAGGGTATGGAGAAAAGGGAACCCTCCTGCACTGTTGGTAGGAATGTAAATTAGTACAACCACTATGGAGAACATTTTGGAGGTTCCTCAAAAAACTAAAAATTGAGCTACTATGTGATCCAGCAATCCCACTGCTGAGTATATACCCAAAAGAAAGAAATCAGTATACCGAAGAGATATCTGCACTCCATGGTGGTTGCAGTACTGTTCATAATTGCAATGATTTGGAAGCAACCTAAATGTCCGTCTGCAGATGAATGGATAAAGAAAATCAGTATATACACACAATGGAGTACTATTCAGCCATAAAAAAGAATGTGATCCAGTCATTTGCAACAACATGGATGAACTGGAGATGAGTATGTAAGTGAAATAAGCCAGGTACAGAAAGACAATCATCACATGTTCTCACTTATTTGCGAGATCTAAAAATCAAAACATTTGAGTTCATGGACACAGGAAGTAGAAGGATAGTTACCAGAGGCTGGGAAGGGTAGTGGGGGGCTCTAGAGGAATGTAGGGATGGTTGATGGGTACAAAAAAATAGAAAGAATGAGTAAGACCTACTACTAGATAGCACAACAGTGCGACTATATCCAATAATAACTTAATTGCACATTTTAAATGTACAATTAACTCTTTAACTTAAAGAACGTAACTGGATTGCTTGTAACTCAAAGAAGAAATGCTTGAAAGGGGATGGATAACCCATTCTCCATGATGTGCTTATTTCACATTGCATGCCTGTATCAAAACATCTCATGTGTCCCATGAGTATATACACCTACTATGTACTCATAAAATTAAAAAAGTAGTGAAAGTTCAACTAAGACTTAGGGTTTAATAAATGCTAAAACAAAGCATAAAGCACCCCTGGTTAACAGGAGTGTCTTCTTACGAAACCAACATCATGAAAAAAGAAAAACATGCAAATGAAGTAAGCAGCAGTTTGCTGTAGAGAAGACATGGTCTAGCTAGTTCCATGTTGGCACAAGATCCAAGGAGTTTGGGAGGTGGTTTTTTTTTTTTTTTTTTTTTTTTTTGCTACACAGCAATGGTGAGGCTGTAAGGGAAAGAATCTGAGTTATGTGTAAAAGCAGTAATTTGTATCTGGGCCTGTGCATCTGAGAGGGTTCTGTAAAGGCACAAATCTGTTGTTTTTTTCCACGAGTTTAAATTAAACTGCCAATGAGTGATAACTTACGCATTGCATCTAAGTTGTCTTATTTTCAAGAGTAAGCACAACCATGAGGGAAAATGAGAAAGTAGGAACTATAGAAACGTCTAGCTTGAGCTAACTGGAAGCTTAGTTTGCTCTTCCTACCAAGGAGAATTGGGTCTACCCAAAACAAATAGCAAGAGTTGAATGATGAGTCAATATATAGCATAATTACAACACATCTTTTTAAATGTTTGCAGTGAATTTTGTGTATCACAAACTGAATCACCACTGAGCCGGAGAAAAATGTTTTTGTTTGTTTAAAATGGGTATAAATTTGAAGTCAAGAAATCATTTGAGTCTCAATATAAGATAAACTGGTAAATTATTTTTTAACTTTTTATTCTTTACATATAATCAGAAAGAAAAGAAAAAAGAAGCAGTGCACATTTTGCTTCCTGTTAACAGGGGGTTAACTCATGAAATAAATACATTACTCTAAATAGAGTTTCCGTAAGTCACAGAAATAGAGAAAAATAAATTGATATGAATATATATATGTGTGTGTATATATATATATATATATGTATATATACACTTAAAAATAACAATTCCAAGAGATTTGGGCTCAAGCCAAATTACCAAAATACATAATTACATATGCTTCATATTTTTATGCTGGTTTTGTGGCTAAAGAAGAAAATAAGCCCATTAAATCTTGAGCACTCATAAAGCTCCAAAAAGGAGAAAAAAGCAACAGAGGTTAAAACTAAAATATAACACGGCTTGGCAAAATTAAGAAAAGGAGAGAAAAATAAATAAAAATGGAAGTTAGTGAAGATAAAAGGTGGATCACATCATTATCCATATACAGAATGAGGGAATATCGTGGATGCATTTGCAAAACAGACAAACAAAAATGATGGACCAAGAGTCTTTTATTAGAAGAAAAGATGAATATGAGTCAGGAGTTTGCTGGAGTAAATTAGCTGAAATAAAACACACAAAATGAGCACTGTAATTATAATGTACTATGCAGCCTTAATTAGGCCCCTGATGGTTTGCTGCCTTCAGTTTAAGGAACCATGATTTATAAAAAAATAGACAAACTATAGAAGTTAAAGTCCAGTTAAAAGAAAAGAGAATGTCAACTAAAAGCAGTTCATTATACAACAAGTAACGGTATTAGAATTTTTATGCTATACAAACATTTATTTGTATAAATTGCCACATCTCAAAACCTAAGAAAATGTTGAATGCCAGATAGGAAATCATTAATACTTCAAGATATTCTTTTTTTTTTTTTTTTTTTTTTGAGATGATCTTGGTTCACTACAGCCTCTGCCTCCCAGGCTTAAGCGATCCTCCTGCCTCAGCCTCCCAAGTAACTGGGACAACAGGCGCATGCCACCACACCCAGCTGATTTTTGTATTTTTAGTACAGACGAGGTTTCACCATGTGGGCCAGGACGGTCTCAAACTCCTGACCCCAACTGATCCACCCACCTCAGCCTCCCAAAGTGCTGGGATTACAGGCATGAGCCACCATGCCCCGCCAGATATGCCTATCTTGCTGTTAACAATCATGGTTCTGGTTTTCTGGGGGTCTCTTTCATTTATTCATTCATGCATCGCTGAGTACATCAAATGGACCATTCACTGTGTTAGGTCCAGGGTTTGAGCAAAATGAGGAGCAAAATTGGCCTCATCCCTGCTCTCATAGAGCTTACAGACAGACTACAGAGGTTCATTCCTAGGTTCATTAGTTTCCTTTTACCTTGAAAAGGTGACATCTGAGCTGTGTAGCCTCAGATTCTTCATTTGTAAATGGAAATTGTAATAAAACCTACCTTATAGAGTAACTGTGGAAATCCAGTGGAGTAATGCATATGACACTGTCAGCACAGTGCCCTAAATTCACTTGAGATTTCCTTCGTTGCACAATTAAAAACTACGCAGTCATTATAATGTTCAAAAGTCTAAGACTCTGGGTCTCCCTGTGAAACGTCAGTACCCACAGAAATGCTGGCAGATGTAACTGTTTGCTCTAAAGCCTTACTCAAAGGTTTACAAGACATAAACACCTGAGAATTTTTTAAGATGGATCCCCTGGAGCAAGTTCTTCCAAAAGATGTGTACCTCAAAGCAGCAAATATTTATTGAGAGCTATCATTTTGGGCAGAAATGTAAACTGAGCATAGCATCAGCTTCATCGTTACATCAATTTTAAAAGTTCTCCTGCAGTATAAAGACAAACCAAGCGCATCATTCCCAGTGATCGCAAAGAAAACAAATAAAGGTGCATAGAATAGTCTAGTTGTTGTAGTTAGCAAGTGTAAAGTAAGGGGAAGGAAGGAGAAAGGTTGTGCAATACATTGACAAAAAGCACAATTTTAGATAGGGCACTGTGTGCAGAATGGTATATAGTTGTGAGATATATCAGTATGTGTAGGGTGAAATACAACAACTTAATGCATTTCAAAGTGGATGTATTTTTGGAAAACTGAGCAAATCACTTCAGACCTGAGAATATGAGAAAGTACTACCAGAAGACCAAAACACTTTGTGATTTAATGAAGAGTAGTATTTTGAATCATTCGCCACTAAGCCTGCATCACCCAATGTAACTCAAGAGAGGGGTAGTAAAGCCACAAGGGAGGCTAGGTGGGTTACGAAGCCTCCAGAAAACACTTTCACTTTCACTGAAATTCTACAGATCTGCAACAATTGAACTTGCCTATTTACATGAGAGAGTTATTCTATTTCTTCATCACATTCAAATAACATACAGTGCACACTCATTCCATCACTATCCATCCCGCTGGCCCCCAACTGAGACATTATCTATTATGAAGGGAAAGAGCATGAAATTTGCAGCCAGATGGTAAGCGAGGGTAGGGGGGTCCCTTAAGGCCTGCCTCGGTGGCTTACATGCTGTCTGGCCTTGGAAAGACAATTTCACCATGTCTCAGTTTCCCAGCTGTGAAATGGGAATACTAATATTATTCACTTTATAAAGTTATTGTGTAGATTAAGTAAGTTAATATATTTAAAGAGACTAGAACAGTATCCAAAACATAGTAAAACTTGTATCAGCCTTTGCTATTATTATGCGTTTCCATCTGAAATTCTCCATATCATATCTTAGCAGTGTGAACATGGGAAAACCTTGCTTTTAATAAATCAAATTAATCTTGTAGCTACCAACAACTGCTAAATCCAAAAATAAAAGGTGCTAGGTGCGTACTGTGGTATTTTTATACATTTAATTTAATAAGCACATTTGTAGTGTCACTAAGAGCACTTTGAGGCAGATATTTTTACCATTCCCATTGACAGGTTAAAAAACGGGAAGCACAGAGGAGCTAAGCGACTTGGTCAAGGTCATACAGCTATTATATAAACGGTGGAGCTGGGATTGGACTTAGGCCAGTCCAACTCTAAAATCCATACCTGTAACCTATGAGCTCTGCTTCTCCTAAACATAGCAGCAAAGAAGATAGAAATAGAATGATTTTAAAATGAGCTGCCATTTCTGATGAGTCAGTCTTGGTAGGGATGAACCCTGTTTTTGATAATGAAATAGTAGGAAACTTTGGAACAGGCCCTATTGCCCACAATTAGGACATTGTATCCTAATGGGCTGACTACACTCTGAGACCTCATCCTGGTCACCTCTCTCCAGAGCAGGTACCTTTCATGGGTGCCAAAGCACCTCGGCTAATATCCATCAAGACTACTTTCACTATATCACACTGACCCTGAGGGGACTGCCTGGACAGTGGTGCACCCTGCCTCGATACTGCAGATGGAACATTTGGGTGGGTGGCAAATGACTTCCCTCTTTTGACTACTGTGTTCATATGCTCCCACTTTAAAAGCTTAGGACTAAAAGGGCCATCAAGAGGCAAGTTGGCTTGAGAAGATTGAACTAAGTTACTCACAATGCAGAGAAGCACCTCTGAACTCAGACCCACACAGAGGCTTTAAGCCATGACAATGTACCTTAGGTAGGTAACAGACACTTAAACTTGACGGAAAGCAAGTGACACAATGCAATTACTTGACCAAGGGTGATGCTAAAAATATTTAATAACTAGAATGGTATGAGCAAGATGCAATCAGACCAGACAATGGTAATAAATAGCCATCTGTCAGTAACAGTGCCTAAAAGCCAAAACTTCAGTTCTGTCCCTGACAATGAAACTTAAGCTCAGTTCCCAAAGGAGACTAGAAACAGGCCAGGTGGATGTGCAGTGCAAATCACATCACTGCTTGTGATGTTGTTTTCTTTTCTTTTTTTTGAGACGGAGTCTTACTCTGTCACCAGGCTGGAATGCAGTGGTGTGATCTCGGCTCACTGCAACCTCTGCCTCCCAGGTTCAAGCGATTCTCCTGCCTCAGCCTCCTGAGTAGCAGGGACTACAGGTGCGCACCACTACGCCCAGCTTATTTTTATATTTGTAGTAAAGACGAGGTTTCGCCTTGTTGGCCAGGATGGTCTCCATCTCTTGACCTCGTGATCCGCCTGCCTCGGCCTCCCAAAGTGCTGGGATTACAGGTGTGAGCCACCACACCCGGCTGATTTTGTTTTCTAATAAGCAGTTTTTCTCAAGTAAGCCCTTAATGGATTTGGTGGGTTTTACGAGACAAGACTTCCTCTTTTATTCCTCTGGCTAACTAAGATTTTTGTGGAATGCCACCCTAAAGGGCTATGCAAAGGGAAAATAAAATCAGAAAAAAGTAGTGAATGAGCACAGGTTGCTGGTATCCCACCTCCAAACTAACCCTGGAGAAAGTCAATAGTGTTGCCTGAATTGTTGGTACTACTCAAATCAGTTAGCTATGATTTCTGCATCACTAATAATGGATCTCAGACAATAAATATCATGTGAGCTCTTGTTCTTTCTAATTCAATTGCCCACACTTAAGTAAATATCAAGGAGGAAAACTTCCTGCTACACAAGATTATGGCACAATTTATTTCACAGCTTACAACTTTTTCATCTTTGAAAAATGATGAGCTTATACTCTGCAAGAAAGAATTATAAGGACTTTGGAAGCCTTAAACCATCCTATTTACAGGTACCACAAGTTGTTCTGTACATGAGCATGAAGCTTTGATATCTGGAGACCACTCAAAGACTCGTTCTTTTTTTTTTTTTTTTTTTTTTTTTTTTTTTTGAGACAGAGTCTCACGCTATCACCCAGGCTGGAGTGCAGTGGCGCAATCTTGGCTCACTGCAACCTCCACCTCCCAGGTTCAAGCGATTCTCCTGCCTCGGCCTCCTGAGTAGCTGGGATTACAGGCACCTGCCACCATGCCTGGCTAATTTTTTGTATTTTAGTAGAGTCGGGGTTTCACTATGTTGGCCAGGCTGGTTTCAAACTCCTGACCTCAGGTGATCCACCCACCTCAGCCTCCCAAAGTGCTGGGATTACAGGCATGAGCCACCACGACCAGCCTCAAAGACTCCTTCTTTGGCTTAAACCCAGACAGGACTTCACTCACTGGCACTTACTAAGAGAGGGGAAGAAATGGCAGGAATGCCAAAGAGAGACCACTTTCATCACTGCAAAACTGTGCAGGGAACAGACTACACAAAAAGTCAAACTCAGAAATACTCTGTAGCCTCCTGACTAGCAGTTTTTAGTCAGCTATCTCTTGCCCCCAAATCGTATTTCAAGGACTGAGAACATCCAGAAGAAAATGCCACCATTCTGAAATACATCAACTCAATCAACTGTACTTACTCATACCAATCTTTGTCTTTTCAATTAACTTTGGCCCAGCGACATAATCACTAGACACACTTGAAGTCAGGGAAAATATGTGATTTATCTTTCATTCCCCAAATGAATTCAGAGTGGTCATGCGTATGAACTGATCAGATACTCTTAGTATACATAGTGACTGGTGTCACTGGTGCTTTCACCACAAAAACTGACAAGTATCTGAGGTTATGGATATTTAATTAGCTTGATTTAATCATCCTATATTATATACATACATCATAACATCACACCGTATCCCACAAATCTATACAGTTACAGTTTGTCAATTTAAAATAAATTTTAAAAAACTCCCTTGGTGTTGCTAATGTGTCTCTGTATAATTTTTGCTTCCACTTCCACTATAAATGATTTATTACTACCACCACCCACACTTTTTCTTATTTCCTAACTTTGGGGCCTCAGATCATTTCTCACCATGGTATTTAAAAATGTAAATATAATTGGGGAATTTAAGATTACACCAGGAGGCTCAAAGAAATTAAGATCAAGAGAAAGCCTATGAAAGCCTGCTTAGAAATTTTAGCTTATTAAAAGATTAAAAAACCCCACAAAAACAGAACCCCAAAATAAGAGAACACCCCATCAATATAACTATACATATTTTAATTTCCATTCATAATCTCATAGTCAGTAAGAATCTTTAGAGAACACAGTGGGGTGATTAAGATCAAGGATACTGATGCCAAACTGCCTGGCTCCGGGAGCTGGTTCTGTGTTAGCTCACTTATTGAATTTCTCTGAGCCTTAGTCCCTTCATCTATTAAACAGGACAATAATGTTACCTAACCTATAGAGTTGTTAGAATTAAATTATTAGTATTTGTAAAGCATATAAAATAGTATCTGGCATACACACGTTTATTAAATGTGATCTGTCCATCCAGTAATTTCAGTTAGATTCTTACAAAGTTGCCTGGCTGTAAATATTACACATTGTAAGAGGCCTTTTATCAACATGGTGTTCAGCTGCAAGTAAGGGAAAGTCCTACTACTCTGGCTCAAACTAGGAAGGAGCCAGACAGTCAACAGCACATGAGTTCCATGCCATCGACCACTCAGGCTCCTGCCATTTCTCCTTTCCTCAGTCCCTCCTTCCTGTGAGGTGTCTTCTCTTATGCTGGCAGATGGCTGCAGCCTACCAGTTACTGCATCTTTGTTCCAGGCAAGAGATTGAGGTAGGGCCTGAGTCTTTCTCCTAGAAAGGCTTTCTTTGGGAAGCAAAGCTCTCCCAGGGAGTTTAGCTGATATTACAGGCCAGAATGGGGCAACATGGGCACCCGCAGTTTTAAGTGAGGTTAAGATTTTGAGAATTTTGCTTTTCAGCTTCTAAAACTAAAGAAGGGAGGGAAGAATGTGGTTCAAGAGCACTAGGTTAGGCAATCTACACAATCTTCTTCACAAGCCTTAAATATGTTTCTGGTTGTCTGTAAAGGTATTCACTCTGACTTCTTAATCACTGTGGTCCCAGGCATATATAGAACATTGAGTGGGAAAGGCTTGAGGTAAAACCAATTACGTTGTCAGGAAAACTGAAACTGTTTCAAACCCCTTGCCCAACAGGTAGGGGTATGCATGTACATATGTATGTATGTGTGTGTGTGTATATATATATATGTGTGTGTGTGTGTGTAGGTATCTATACATATGTATATATCTATACATATATATGTATAGATCTACACACACACACACACACATATATACACACGTACATACATATTTATGTATAGATAACTCCCTTCTGTGGCCCTCACACACACCTACACACAGCTGACAGTCAGGGCTGACGGCAGCTCAGCTTCCTGCACCTGTCAACTCCCGGAGCCTCTACTCCAGCTTTGCCGTTTGTGTTTCTACTCACACGTCTTTCCCCTTTCCATATTCATCAGCTTTTTTTCCTCACTATTGGCAACAGAAATGACAGGAGCTATGATTCATGACAGTGTAAAATCATATTTGGAAGTAAATTCATGAAATGTTGAAAAGATACTACTGTTTGTAATAATATTAGAGAGAGGTCTGTCTATTGGCCATGTAAATGTAGAGGTAATGCTTGTCATTATCAGTATCTCCGTCGGTTGAGTCCTACCTCAATCCTCTTGCCTGGAGTAAAGATGCAGCAACCTGTAGGCTGCAGCCATCTGCCAGCATTAGAGAAAACAACGCACAGGCAGGGGGCACTGAGGAAAGGAGAAATGGCAGGAGCCTGGGTGGTCGATGGCATGGAACTCAAGTGCTGTTGACTGCCCCGCTCCTTCCTAGTTTGGGTCAGGGTAGTAGAACTTTCCCTTATTTGCAGCTGAACACCATGTTGATAAAAGGCCTCTTACAATATGTAATATCTACAGCCAGGCAACTTTGTATGAATCTAACTGGAATTATTGGACGGACAGATCTAATTTAATAAGTACATATATGCCAGATAGATAGATAGATAGAAAGAAAGAAAGAAAGAAAGAAAGAAAGAGAGAGAGAGAGATGGAGTCTCGTTCTGTCGCCCAGGCTGGAGTGCAGTCGTGCAATCTCGGCTCACCGCAACCTCCGCCTCCCAAGTTCAAGCGATTCTCATGCCTCGGCCTCCCCAGTAGCTGGGATTACAGGTACCTGCCACCATGCCTTGCTAATTTTTGTATTTTTAGTAGAGACAGGGTTTCATCATGTTGGCCAGGCTGGTTTCAAACTCCTGACCTCAGCTGATTTGCCCACCTCAGCCTCCCAAAGTGCTGGGATTACAGGTGTGAGCCACCACACCCGCCCACCAAATACTTTTTTATGTACTTTACAAATATTAATCATTTAATCCCCCTAACAGCCCTATCGGGTAGATAACACTATTGTCCCTGCCACTAAATTAGTGGTAGAATGTAAAGAATAATGGAAAAAGCAATTTAAAAAAAAAAGTAAAAGCAAGGTGGAAAAAATAATTGGTGTTACTGTTCATTAGACCCTTTCTTCTCTATCCTTTGGGTCTAATGACTTCCCATTTGCTATTTATCACAAGTTTTGACAAGCAATTCCCTGTCCTAGAGAACCCAGTGTTTTACTCTTTTTCTTTCCTCTAATTTGAACTCCTTGGTCACCAAAGTAAACAGCGGTGTACATATTTCTACAGCCTATGCGTGCAAAGACATATATACATATTACACAGGGTTTTTGCCCCTTCTTTCCTCTTTTCATTTATTTCTTTCTACTTTCATCTTCACTTTTTTTTTTTTACAAAAATATATCCTATCACACATTCTAAAAATGAATTTTCACTTAAAAATATATTCTAAATCTATTTCAGGATATACATCTAAACAATTCTTTGCAATACCTATAATATAGCTGAAAATGTTGTTGTAATATAATTTAACTATTCACCTATGATTCATCACTTCATTTCCAATGTTGTTTTTTAAGGCAATCCTAGGCATTGTTCTGCATCTGGCAATGGTAAACGAGGTGTTTCAGGCCAGCCATCAACCAAAACAACCAAGGCACTGGGGACCTGCCAAGGCAGTAAAGACTAGAATGGTCTAGATCCCAGGAAGACAATTAACCCTACTTTTGATCCCTTTTCTACTCAAGAATTCTTCAGTTTGAATCTGCAGCTAGGGCACTAACGAGATGAGGAGAGTGTGTGTTCAGCAACGTCAGACTTATTACAGAGAGGAAAAAAATGATGCATATGTATGCACTTTGTAAAGAGCAAAGCACAATTGAAATAAGTTATATACATACACATGTGCATCTCATCATTGTTACTGCCTCTAAAAACTAAGCAACACCACTTCCTCTGGAGAAAAAACAGTTCATTAAAAGCATAAATGTTAACTACAGTAGAAAAAATTGTTCAGCAAAATATATTTTAGATACTTAAAAAACAAGAGCTACAAAGTATCATGGTCATATTGCAAGTCTGATGCTAGGGAGCTGAGTTTTAACCTTGGCAGTAACAATAATTTTTCTAAGATTTTGAGTCAGTCATTTAAATGTTCTTTGCCTCAGTTTCTTTTCCTCTAAAGTAAGAATGTTAGATTAAATATACTCTAAGGGTCCTTCTTTCCCTTGACTTTCATTATGTTATCTCTGAGCACAGGGCTTCCCTTTTCATTAGGAATGCCTGCAATCAACAGATTGACTGGAAAAAGACAACAGCAAATAATAATTTGTATCTGATGAAACTGTGCCTGTAACTGACAAAACTGAAGACTCTGAAAACACTGGACTGTACTTGGTTGACCTTAAAGGATGCTTGGCTCTGTTCATGTCTTTTCTCTCTCTGTTTTCCAGTTAAGCATTTCGCTGTGCAGTTGATTCAGCCAGTGTTAACACTCTGCTCTGAGGCTGCCCTGCACCTATCTCTTTACAGATACCACTGGGTCCAGCAGAAGACATGAGCATTTTTTAAATGTCTTCTGTAGCTTTCCAGTGATTCTGGACACTTGGCCCTAAACATTTATCCATTTTTGTAATCTATGCCACCATCTTGTTACTGATACAGGAGTTAAGGAGAAATTATTTAGGCAGATAGTGAGGGTACAGGAGTCCTTGGTAAGGTTTACCTTTTAATGAAGAGCAGTCCCAAAATCATGTTCTTTTCTAACAAAGAGCAGCCTGCAAAATCGAGCTGCAGACATAGAGAAGCAAGTTGGAAGCTTCCACGGGTGAATGCCAGCAGTTGTGCCAATAGGAAAAGACCACCTGGGACTAGGCATGTTCAAAATGGCGGCTCCATGTTCCCGTCTCCTTGCCAGCCACGTGTACAGTAAGGAGCAGGCAACATGGCACCTGCCAAGTGGAAAGCCTGTTTGCATAAGATTAGGGTGGAGCAGCCAGCCTTCCTGGCCAGCCTTCCTATGCAAATGTCATACCGAGTCCAACCAATCTTTGGGCCCTATGCAAATCAGACACTGCTTCCTCAAGCCTGCCTATAAAATCTGGTGCACTCTGGTGCAGGCCAGATTTCTCAATCGTGATCTCTCTCTGTCTCTCTCTCTCTCTCTTTCCTCTCTCTCTGTCTCTCCTCTCTGCCCCTATCTCTTCCTCTCTCTTTCCCTATCTCTCCCTCTCTCTCTTTGAGACAGCTGTTCTCCTTTCTCTTTCTTTTGCTTATTAAACCTCTGCTCCTAAACTCACTCCTTGTGTGTGTGTCCATGTCCTTAATTTTCTTGGTGCAAGACAATGAATCTCAGGTATTTACCCCAGACAATGACTTTGCTTCAGTACCACTTATTTGGTCACTTCTTTATGCTAGAAGTTACAGGTTTTTCCTTAATATATTCTGCAATTAATGCACAGTCACTACATTCATGTTATGATACTCTTAACACCCTCATCTCATAATTATTTTTGTTTTTATTACAACAATCTCCATTTCTATCTTACTTCTGCTGCCCAACGATCTAGCAGTGCCCAAGAACTCACTATGACTCAAATTTTTGTCCTCCACTATCTAAACTCTACACATTTTTGTCCTCCACTATCTAAACTCTACAAATTTTTCTCTGTGACTTAAAATTACTCTCTCTGATCATGGTTGTTTCTCTGTCTCTATTCAATTCCAACAAACCTGTCCCTGAGTGGGTCTTTATCATGCAAAAGTCTCAGAACTATTTTGTATGGACAGTGGTATTTTTTGAGTGAATTTTAATGTTCATCCATCCATTCATTCAACAAACAATACTAGACACCTATAGGTGCCAGATGGTATGGTAGATCCGGAAAGAACAAAGATGAATGAAACCATGCCCCTATCTTCAAGAAGTTCATTACTAATGAAGGAAACTGAGAGGAAAAATAAGTAACATAAGAGGGCATTAGTGATAAAGAAAGGCAAATAATGAAATACTGTGCAAACAGATGGAAGAGCAGTAGATTCATTTGGGTGTCACTGAGGCAATCTATGGCACTAGAGAGGTCAATTATGTGTGAGCTAGAGAGCTCTAACAAGTTCAAATAACTGATTTAATACTGGTAAGTCCAAAATCACTGATAAGTCTTCACAGTCATTGATAAGTCTCCACAATACTGAAATAAAACTAACATCTTATTAGAGATGTGTGTATCGGGTTGACTGCCTATAAATATTTTACTATTATACAGACCATTTGTTAGTATTTACTAAATTTCCTTTAAATAAAATATTACACTCTAGGATTTGGAAAATGAACTGTCTCCCCAATCTATCCAAATAATCTTTTGAATACAAGGAAAACAATGAGAACTCCAAACTGATCTTCTTATTTATAGAATAGACTAGCAGTAATCAATTTGAAAAAGAATGAGAATTCTGGCTCTTTAGTGGTTTTCAGGGCTTTATAAATAGGTTTTTTAAGATATAAATGGACATGATATTGTTAGATGACTATTCAGAAATGACTAATGAAAATACTAATGATTTTTCAAGAAATAAAAATACTTAACATAATTTAAAAGGAAAACACTTATATTACACCAAACATCAGAGTTTTTTCTTTTTGTTTTTTAAAGATGGGGTCTCAATATATTGTCCATGTTGGAGTGCAGTGACCATAGTGCACTACAGCCTCAAACTCCTAGCCTCAAGTGATCCTCCTACCTCAGCCTCCTGAGTATCTGGGACTCAGTACACACCACCACACCTCACTCAAAGTTGTTTTTTTTTTTTTTTTTTTTTGTCTTAAAGGATACGAAGCAAAGAAAAATAGGAGTGATCTATCACAACAAGGAAAAAACTAGAAAACATACCTGAAGAAGCTTCCAGTCTTTCCAATCTGCTGATCAACCAGTCGAGGGAGCCAGAAAATTGAGCACAGTTTTTACGATTTCCTCTAATTAGAGCCGCTGCAAAAGAAGAAATAGATTTCACCTTTATGTGATTTTCTAGCTCGAAAATTGAGATAAGCTAATATGCAGCCCTAAAATATTGGATCAAGAACAAAATATCCTCTGTTACATCTAAAAACTTATGCAAACATACATACACGTACATATACAACACTGAGACATTAAAGACAAATTAATAATTATTAATTGAGACTGAAGCAAACCACTGCTCATTAGAAGGAATGTAATTTCGGAAAGTGAATTTCACATTGGGAGGTAATAGTAAAGGGTAATGGAAAAACAGTCTCCTGGGAGTTCCCTCACTTGGGTTCTAATCCCCTTTGCTTTTAATTAGCCATGAGATTAAATTATTCTTCTCTCTCAAGCCCAATTTTCTTACCTATAGAATAAAAAGAGCAAATCAGTTTTTCTGAAAATGAACCACAAAATACTAGGAGATATAACTAGTAATTATAACTCTAACAGGTATACAGAGAGATATAACTAAATGTTACATTAAATAATGGATGAGAAGACCAATAGCCACTAACTTTGAAACCCTTTTATTTTCTTATATCATTTCCGTGGATTTAGAGATTCACAATGTATATTAAAGACCTGAAATTCTGCAGTAAAGAAACTGATTCTAGCTTGGCTTAGACTACTGTTTTCTACACTTCTTTGATTGAACAACCCATTTTAAATAAAACTCCTATGTGACTTTTCTGGTTTCTTTCAGCCTAGTTTATACACTCACTTTTAAACTTTTAATTTTTCAAAATCATTAAATTCTTTCAAAGCAAGCATGGTAAATATTTTCTACTTTTATACCCCTAAGTTTATTCAGAAACAGTATAATTGCTTACAAGAGGATGGCAAGATGTTTAGACAATATGATATTTAAAGAGAGAAAGATGTCTCTATAAGAATAATCACTATTGAAAATCTGGTAGGCCAGGGGTGGTGGCTCACACCTGTAATCCCAGCGCTTTGGGAGGCTGAGGTGGGCGGATCATGAGGTCAGGAATTTAAGACCAGCCTGACCAACACAGTGAAACCCCATCTCTAATAAAAATGCAAAAAATTAGCCAGGCATGGTGGTGGGCGCCTGTAATCCCAGCTACTCAGGAGGCTGAGTTAAGAGAATCGCTTGAACCCGGGAGGCAGATGTTGCAGTGAGCCAAGATCGTGCCACCGCACTCCAGTCTGAGAGACAGTGTGAGACTCCGTTTCAAAAAAAAAAAAAAAAAAGCAGAGAAAATCTGGTAGCTGATGCAAGCGTTTGAAGTAGTGAAGTTTGAGGCTACCGCCTGTTAACCTCCCTGTTAAGAGCAGGAGGGAAGAGACCCTACAGTTACAGTGTACAATTAAACTTAAAGATGTCCTTCATGTTTCCTCTTTCCAAAAATAAAGAAATAAAGTTATTATCTGACCTGAGAGTAAGAAAAGAAACACACAGAAAAGACGCCAACTTCATGAGAAGAGCTTTTTTGTGTATAGCGCCTCTGTGACATTTGTACAGAGATTAAGAGCTAATACACTCATTACTCAGGCTCTCCTCTGGCTCTGGGTCCAGCAGCCTCCCTTAAGAGCCAGCCATCGAGATATACTCACAGACTGCAGAGTACAGGGGACAAAAGATAGGGGTGGAATATAGCAGAGGAATGAGAAGTACTAAGTTCTAAGCAGAACTAATTTTATTCTGTAAGAATATCTGTTCCCAATTTAGAACAATAGCAACTGGGAAAAAGGACATGATAAAGTTTTTGAATTTTAAGAGTCCCTTTTGTTTAAAACTTAACTCATGCTTTTCAGTTTATTTCTGATTTTGTAAAACTAATTTTATATATAATATATAATTATATATAGCTATCTAAAATTATATATAAACTATTGTATTATCTAAAATTATATAGGTATATATATAATATATATCATTATCATATTATCCATCTAAAATGAAAACATATATCATTATCATATTATCTATCTAAAATTATATATATGATATATATAACATAAGTGATTCTTGAAAGAAATTAATAGTGTAAGAATGAACTCTTTTAATAAGCCATGGGGCATTTAAGAAAATTATAAAGTAAGCCACAAAGAAAAGTTCATTAAATTTACTGCAAACAGACATGGTATAAACCATGTTCTCTGACAGAACCGTGTCAGAATTTAGTAAGAAAAGCAGGAATGAAAATAAAACCAAAGCATATAAAAATTTAAACTCTCTCCTTAATAACTCTTGGGTCAATGATGGAATCAATATCATAATATAAAATATCTAATAAATATCAAAAATTAGAATACTACCTAACACAACCAATGGTAAATGGCCAAAAGTGTACTCAAGGCAAAATTAAATAAACACTTTAATTGCTAAGCAATTGGGTGAAAAATGGTAAATACGTCTTTTGAAATAGAGGAAAAGAACATCAAATAAACATCAGTAAAACAGAAAAAAATAAATCGCAATAAAAGTAGAAATTAATACATTAGAAATAAAAATAATTTATATAATAGTAAGATTGATCAAGAATACATTCAAGGACTATTTTTTAAATATAAGCTAACTACCAACTACTACTTTAATCAAAAAGAAAAGGAAAAAAGGACAAAATTAAGAAAAGGGCATTACACCAGGCGTAGTGGCTCATACCTATAATCCCAGTACTTTGGGAGCCAAGGTGGGAGGATCACTTGAGCCCAGGAGTTTATGACCAGCCTGGGCAACATAGCATGACCCAGTCTGTGCAAAATTTTTAAAAAATTTTTCCAGGTTTGATGGTACATGCCTGTGGTCCCAGCTACTTCAGAGGCTGAGGAGGGAAGATTGCTTGAGCCTGGAAGGTCAAGGCTACCATGAGCCATGATATCACCACTACACTCCACCCTGGGTGATGGAGTGAGACCCTATCTCAAAAAAGGAATTATAAACACAACAATTTTATACATCTTTATACTGTAATTTTGAACATCTGGGTAAAATGGTCTCAAGATATAGATACATAGATATATAGATATGTATTTTTTCACTAAAACTGATGCAATAGAAGGGAAAACATCTAAACAGAATAATAAATCATGAGTAATATTGAAATGTCAAAGACCAAAAGCTTTTTCGCACATATTCAATAAATAAGTAATTTCTACACTACTTCATATGCTGCATAACAATGATTTGGTCAACAATGAATCAGATAAAATGATCATCCCTTAAGACCATAAGACTATATTTTTACTGTACCTTTTCTATGCTTATGTACGTAAATACCACTGTGCTACAATTGCTTACAGTATTCAGTATGGTAATTTGCTGTACATATTGCTGTACAAATGTACAGCCATAGGTTATGTAGCCCAGGAGCAGTAGGCCATCCCGTATAGCGTAGACGCGCAGTAGGCCATCCAGTATAGCGTAGCCGCGCAGTAGGCCATCCCGTATAGCATAGCCATGCAGTAGGCCATCCCGTATAGCATAGCCGTGCAGTAGGCTATCCCCTATAGCGTAGCTGTGCAATAGGCTATAACACGGAGGTTTGTGTAAGTTCCATGATGTTTGCAAGATGTATTCCTTAGAACTGTTCCCATGAGTAAGTGACACATGACCGTATTCCAAAGCCAAAAAACTAAGGAAACTTCCCTGATTTTACAAAAGCAGTATCAGTGACATTGATATCAAAGCACACATCACAAAACAAGAGGAACTCTTATAAATCCAAAAATATTATATAAGTTTATATATTAATGAAATTAATAAATCAAATTTAGCAATATAAATTTAGTATTTATAAATCAAATTTAGCAATACATTAGCAACATTTCATCCAAGTGGAGATTCATTCCTCCAAAGAGACAAAAATATATCAGGAAATCTGTTAATGAGTAAAAGATCAAACAATCTCAATATACTACGAAAATATATACATTTCTAATGAAAAAAATTAACTCAGTAAAATAGAGTACCTCCTGAACATCGTGCATGCATGCGTGTGTGTGTGTGTGTGTGTGTGCATGTGTGTGTATGTAGGCGCATGTCATGGGTACCAATACATTTTACAGATAAATGGAGTCTGTGAATTATTATAATTCATCCAGTCAGTTAAGAAGATATCAGTTATGTGAGTTTCTAAAGTAATGAAAAAGTATGCAGAGAAATACAAGGAAGCTCATCACAGCACTCTTTATAACAGCAAAATACTGGAATAGCCTAAATGTGCCTAAATAAGTAAATGGTGACATTACCTCAGCACAGAAGTGTACATCTGCTAAAGTCTGATGAAGGTTTATAGTTACTACCAAGGATAGAGGCCCACAATGTAGAATTAATTGAAAACATCTGCTATAAAAGAACATTGATAGCATGATTCCATTTTTGTAAAGTAAATGTATACACTGAATATAAGTACATGTATAGCATGGAGAAAACTGTGTTTTTTAGAAATTTCTTAGAGAATGATTGCTGATATTTGGGGGGGAAATATCTTGATAAGGGACTGAGATAGAAACAGAGAGCTTGAGGAAGATTGATATTAGTGGGACTGCTTCCCCAGGTCAAAAAGGTACATTTTCTTATTCCAAAATAAGGTGGAAGAAGAATGGACCCAGGAGAGGAAAAAAAAGGGCCATGTCCTGTAATATGATCTTTCACAGTGACCCTTTGAACCAGCAATAAATTCTGTCAAAAAAAAAAATCACAAATGCTCAATAAGAATGGAAGTTAGGATGTGAAGAGAATGGAAGTTAGGATGTGAAGTTAGGATGTGAAGAGATGTTCTGTGGCTACACTTTCACTCTTAGAGAAAAAATAGACGACAATAAAAAAGCACGGAAGTCCAAAAAAATGTAACCAAATAAGCCCCTAAAATGTACCAACATCAAAGGAAAGCCTTTTGACTATCTTAGTCCATGAACCTGGAATTTGGAGCAAGATGAGCAAATCTTCAAGGAGAGGAGGGAATAGGTGATGTCTTGCTGCAAAGATGTGCAGATATGTACACACGTGTTATTCTGCAAGCACGCATGCAGGTGTGCAAAATGTTTTCTGCATGTATTACGTGATAAATATTTAAAGGAACATTTGTAAAGGTTATAGATCAAAATGTGTGGTTAAGTTTAAGAGTAGTTTCTGCCTTCTTAATTTTTCTTATTTCTTTCCTTATCTAAAATGTATTAATTTTAATACCAAATAGTACAATAAAGTTAATGCCTTTCCAAAAATAAAACGGAAAACCATGCCATCAGTATCTGTAGTGGCTTTCATTATGAGATGTCTCAGAGCACCACTGTCATCTTCGAAGTGCAATGGCAACTTGGTATGGTGCGTCAAGGTACAAAAACAAAAGACAAATGTCCCTCCCTAAAACTTTACAATACTCTTTAATTGCTGCCTAATTAAAGACTAAGTTAAGATCTTTTATCTTTTTGTAGAGACAGGGTCTCTTTATGTTGCCTAGGATGGTCTCCAACTCCCTTCCTCAAGTGATCCCACTGCCTTGGCCTCCCAAAGTTATGAGATTATAGAAATGAGTCACTTTGCCTGGCCCCATTCTTTAATTCTATGAATTTAATCATTCTAGATACTTCTTATAAGTGGAATCATGCAATATTCATCTGTTTTATTAGTATCATCCTATCCCCGGAGGCTTCATGCTTCAATGTCTTTGAATTCTTGGACTCAAAATTTCACAAAAGACTAAAAAAATCTGAGACTTACAGAAAAATTTAGATTAAAAGAAATTCCAAGAAATTACCTTCACTTTAAAAATTTATGCAACAAATACTGATTCCCTGCTTTGTGTCAAGCATTGTTCTAGGTGCTGGAGGTACAGAGGAAATGAAACAACATCCCTCTTGGAATTTACATTCAAAGCCTGGAAACACTAAGTGAACAGGCCCTACGCAGCACAGAAAAATGAGGGGCTAATTGGACTAAAATCTAGAAACATTTTTCAAAATATTGAGATTAACAAGTAGATGCTCCTAAGCCTGAAAAAAATAAAACCCATTAAACAAACAAACGAGCAAACAAAACAAAACACTTCAGAATGTACTGAAGAATCTAAGAAGATAATGCATTGAAACTTCTTGGAGAGCTTGGAGAGCTGTCCCTGTGTTTGGGGATCTTGTAAACTGGAGTCTGAGGACTCCTACCTGGGAACTTGCAAGAGTAAGGGACAATGAGACTATCACCAAGCTGAAATTTTAAAGGATGTGTCTTGTTTATACGATACGTTTCTGAGACTTCCTGAAGAACAAGATCGAACTATCTAGATGCACAAACACTAGAATAACACCGATCTGTGCATGTCTAAAGCCCATTTCCTTCTTCTTCACCTCTTGACTGCCTTTTCTCAATGTTTTATGGCATTTAGGGAGATCTGCCTCCTTGAGACACTGGGAAATTGGTTTGAATGTGCAGAAATAATGGCTAATGGCTGTATTCTTTCCAAGTCTTCAAACATTCATTTTGGCCATACTCAAAGAGCAGCAATCTATCCTTGTTGGTTTCATACTTTGAATCTTCAGAAAATGAGTATTCATAGGAAAGTTTGCCCAGCGGCCATTTCTCAGACATCTTTAGAAAATCATTCTGTCTTGTAAGCATCCCACAGATTAATCGTGTGGATGTCAGAAAAGATGTATGAAAGCATGCCACAGTGATGCTTTTCCAACTATGAGTATCGCTGTTTCTAAGATCCTGAGGTATTCCAAACAGTAGGCTCACAAATCTACCTTTGTCATTCTCCACCTAAAACACATGAAATATATCCATGTCGAATGCAAAATTGTTATAGATTCTTATTCCCACCTTCTTGGTTTTCTCTCTGTGCAAAATAGACACACTGAAGAAAAAATACAAAGACAGTGGCTTATTTCACATATAACCCCAGGAGAGAATCTATGGTCTACCTATTTCGAATAACGGGAAGGAGGCTTAACAAATTTGGAGTTAATATTTGAACCAAAGGTTTTGACAGCCAAATAAAGAAGGAAAGGTAGATACACATGTCTTACAGGACTCCAATTATTGCTGCAGATCTGAGACTTTTCCAGACAAACTGAAGTATATATTTAGGTATATGTGGCTATCTTATGATTACAATGAATTCAATAAAAAATATTGGCAGCATATGGTTCTGAAGTATTTTGCATGTCAAAATTCAATATAAAGTTGTATTTGTTACCCTTTTCTGGTCATGAAATTGATGCTCACTATAACACAAAAAGAAAATCATAAGAACTCAAAAACATTAAAAAAACTCTCATAATTCTATCCAGTGGAAACACCCCATCTCCCACTAAAATTACCTTGTAGATTATGGGAAGAGATTCTCTTCATTTGCACTAATATATAAATGTTTTTTTTTTTTTTACTCAACTGTAATTAGTACATTCAGTTTTTACTTTTGCTATCAATTATCTGGCATTAGAGATATATGTTAACTACTTTTTTCAATTATAAAAGTAATGCATGTTAATAGATTCAGAATAATGAAAAATATAATATCAAGATCTCTCTCCCAAGTTGTAGCCCGCTAACTAGACAGAATCAGCGACATCAGAGGTGAAAAGAAGGGACAGACCGGACCAAGAATTAAAAGAACGCAATACAGAGAGTTTAGAGACAGACCAGCAACATCTGGTTGCTGGTGAAAGGAAGAGACAGACCAGGCCCTTCTTCTTAAAAGAGGGGTGTAAACAAGGTCACAGAGTCTATGAAAGTTCATAAGAAGTGTGTGAGAGCTCCCTGAGGTCTGAGTAAAGACTGGAGAAGAGAAGGAGTGGAGGTAAAGAGATTAACCACAAATTTTACCATATATGAATGTCATTGAGATCTGAAGTATTTAGCTGTATACCAGATGGTAAAGATGCAGATGTGCGATACTGTGTTCAAAAATGGGTAGAATAATAGAATATAAAATTTGCAGTCTGGGGATAGTGATAAAGCAAACTTTGTTCCTGCCATTTTCCGATGAGGAAAACAAGAACCAGTATACACCTACAATAATTATGATTCTATGTGCTCTATTGGCTAATCCATAACATTCTTTGCTATATCCAACAAATCTAAGTAAAGTTTCTTTTCTAGGACATCTTTGAAAAGCAAAACAACAATAATAAGAATGAAGCAAGAGGTTGGAGACAAAAGTTTTACTATGTTAACAAGGGAAAGGATGATAACAAACATCCAAAAGAAATGGGAATAATGATAAGAAGAACAACAATATGCGATGCTGAGCATTTTCTATATATTATAACATTTAAGCCACCCAACAACCTTATGAGGGGAATGACTATTGCCATTTTACAGGTAATATTTATAGTAACAATAGATGCCACTTGCTATATGCCTGAATGAAAGTTCAGGTGCTTATTTTTCAAGAAAGGAACCTAATGAAAGAGGAGTAAGAGTTCCACTGGTTTTTAATACACTAATTTGATAGCCAAATGCACCCTGCTACAGAAAAGTCAATGGAAATCTCTGTAACGTATTTATTAAATAATTCAAGCAAATATTTATTGACTGCCTACTCTATTCAAGCATAGTGCTAGGTAGTGAATAAAAGCATTCTGATTAGAATTCAGTTCATAAAACCCTTTGAGGAAGTAGATGAGTCAACATTTGGGATGGACACTTCAGCTTCTTGGCCACCATCCTCTATAACATTCATTCCCTATATGACAGATAGGCAGTCCAAGGAGTTGACCCAGTTTCAACAGTGGATCCCTGATCAGTCAAGACCAATGTTGGTAAAATTTCCCTACTCTTGCCAGAACGACTGGTTCAGGAATGGCCAGACACAATTTGGGCTAATGAGATGCGAGAAGCGTTGTATTTGGGGATTTTAGGAAATAGCACACTCTTTCACAAGGGATAACTTCTGGAACAAGCCCTCTTTCACTTTTCCCATGTCAGAAAGAAAGTATGCAGTACTAGGAGCTGACAGCAGACAGCTGAGACCATCAAGAAAAGGCCGCACTAGAGGAAGATGACTCCATGGAAGGCAGAGTGGAGACATAAAGCAGCTGGTTCTGGAGATAAGATGGAGCCATTGTGTCAAACCCACTGGTAGACGGCGAGCTGTGCAAGCCCCAAAATCCCCTCTGTTTTTGAAGCCAGTTTGGGTTTGGGTATTCTGTTATTTCCAACTGAACACATCCCAATAGAAACATTGCTCCACCTTCAAGAGCTCCTTTCTCGTTCTATTTAAATAGGTAAGCCATTTTAAAATCACACTTCTAGCCATGTTCCAGTAAAAGCCAACCTCAAAACTAATTAGGAGCAGGAACCGTGTTCATACCCACCAAGTCCCCAACATTTTGTAAAGTCTATTAATGTTACTTTTGTAGGTTCTAAAATAATCAAATTTAATCCCCAAATAACTCTGTGGAGGTAAAGGGAGGATTGGCTTGAGAAATAAGTAGCTCAGAAGGATAAAGCTGAAGTGCTAACTTTGCTGCAATGGGCCTTTTCTATGATTATATAAAAAATTATAATTCCTTCTATTCATTTTTGCTACTCATGGATACAATACCTGTTGAAGGGACCAATGAACAGAGACTATAAAAAGAGTTGATATGAAAATAAAAGATGCATATTTTCTAGATTTACCTAAAAAACAATGTTCTTTCTGCACGTAACACTTTCTACCCTCAAACATTCATACATGAAATTCTTCTTTTTTAAAATTTAGAGGTGGTTGCCCAGGCTGGCCTCAAACTTCCAGCCTCAAGCAATCCTACCAGTTCAGCCCCCCACGCAGCTGGGACTACACACATGAGCCAATGCATCCAGCCAGTTTTTATTATTATTTAGAGACAGGGTTTTCCTCTGCTGTCCAGGCTAGGTGATGCAACTCTTTACTTAAGCATCGAGTTTATCCAAGAAATTCATCTTATACCAAGTGAAGAAGGTAGGATGTAGTGTTAAAAACATCACCACACTTTAGTCTCTGCTATATTATGAAATTTAGTGCTATAACTTCTGCATTTGCAAAGAAATGCAGTCATTAGAATTTTGGCAACACAAAATCTTTATCTCAATCGTTACTGTGGGTAAAATGATGAATCCAAATTCCTATAAAGCCTCAATATCCCTGGTCCTGTTCTCAGAAATGGCAGCCGCATGTCACCTTTTAGTCTGAAAGTTCCAAACTGCAAGTGTTTAATTTTAATAAATATCAAATAGCCCACCTAATGAAAACATATTAACAATTCTAATAGGCACAAGAGTTTTATTTGCTAGGTTGTATTATGACTCTATAAATTTTAATGACATTTAATTAGATTGTAAAGAATTTTCAAATATTTTGACTAAATTCTTCCCATTAAAAATGCATTCTTTTTTCTTTTTTTTTTTAACTTTTTTTGCATTATCTCCTTTCTATACTTAGGTATGCTTTCCTATTTTATCAGAACTTAGTCACGTAATGAATACACATTTATTGAGTATCTCCTATGTGCCAGACATTCAGTTAAATAGCAGATACAAAAACCAGAATGGTGCTATTCTTGCCTTAGAAATCAATCACACTTATAACTAAATAAGAAATGTGACAAGTGCTATAAAATACAGGTGAAACTTAGTGGCAAGAAACCAGAGAAGGAAGGTTCAATTATACTTAAGAGTTGGGAGAAACATCAAGAATAACTTTATTTTTGTTTTTGTTTTGAGATGGAGTCTCATTCTGTCACCTAGGCTGGAGTGCAGTGGCGCAATCTTGGCTCACTGCAACCTCTGCTTCCCGGGTTCAAATGGTTCTCCTGCCTCAGCCTCCTGAGTAGCTGGGGTTACAGGCTCCCGCCACCACGCTCGGCTAATTTTTTGTATTTTTAGTAGAGACAGGGTTTCACTATGTTGGTCAGGCTGGTCTCGAAATCCTGACCTCAGGTAATCTGGCTGCCTCAGCCTCCCAAAGTGCTGGAATTACAGGTGTCAGCCACTGTGCCCGGTTATCAAGAGTAACTTTAAAAGACAGTGACATGTGAACTGGGTCTTGAAGGATATACAACAATTCTGGAAAAGGTGAGACAACGTCCCAGAGGTGTGATGTGTATGGAAAGTTCAGGAAACTGTGATGTGGCTCAAGTAAGGGGGTAGGGATAAGGGAACTGGGAAAATAGAAGGCTGGAAGGGTTAACTGGGGCCTCATATACCGGGACAACAAGGTGAACTTTATCTTCTAGAATGATATAGAAATGTGAACAATGTCTAAACAGGGAAGTGATGTAACAGTTGTGACATACAGGATGAATCTGAGATTTTGGAGGCGAGGGTTAGGGTAGAGAAAGAGACCATTCCCCGTGGTCTCTGTTTTTGCACATCTTGCAAATTTGTCATTGGAAGGCTTTGTTTCAGGAAATCTTTTCCAAGATGTTTGCAGCAAGAGGCCATGCAAGAGAGAGATGTCTCCATCCACAGCAAAGGCCAGGCAGGCTTTCTGTCCAGTGTAACTAACTCACACTCCCTGAGCTCAGGATTCCTTTTCTGTAACTCAACTAGCTGCATGTGCAGGTGTCATCTGTCCCCTTCACATTGTCCTTTGAGAACTGGGGCTCAGAGAATTGGCACTACAGCCAATCTCTACAGCTATTTCTTTGACTACTAAACTGTCCCTCTTTACCCTAACTGCAGGCTAACTTACTAGCTTGCAAATAGGGTAAAAATCTCAGACCCTTTAGTTTTTGACAAGAGACAAGTAGAAGCTACAGGAGGTCAAAAATAATGAGGAGCTGTGTTTGCAGAGAGCCCACAGGAATGCAGGGTAAACCACAGCAACTGTCGCTTAATCAATGTCAGGTGTACTTAGAAGTTGCCAAACAGAGATCATATAAAGAATAGAGAGAAGACTGGAGCAGATCATTGATTAGATGGGAATGTAAGGAATTAAGAGGGACCCTTGCGGAACTAACTCCAAAAGCAAAAAGGAAATATTTAACACACATCCATATAAAGGCCCCTCATCTGCAAAGACTGCACCCTGAATGACTTTCTCCTCCTTTAACCAAAGGCAAATCTACTTCTCTAGCTACCTTTCTCACTCAGAGATGGATTTTAATACTAAGCACCATTTGATTTGGCACAGTAAATTAAAAATTAAGTCTCAATTAGGAGGCATGTTATAAAATTGCTGTAGCTATTATGTGATTTTTTTTGCTTTTGTGTTTGATTTTTATTTTATTTTTTGTAGAGATGGGGTCTTGCTATGTTGTCCAGGCTGGTCTCAAATTCCTGGCCTCAAATGATCCTCCCACCTCAGCCTCCCAAATTGCTGGAATTACAGGCATGAGCCATCACACCTAGTCCATTTATGGACATTTTAAATAGATAACTCTGTTGCTATGAACCCAATCATGCTTCTTACCCAGCAACTCATACAGAGAATTCAGAATGGATTTCCAAGACTCTCCTGCTTCTCGCCCAGCAACATCAGCAAAGTGTGCTGCACTGCTGTAGACGTGCAAACGGTCTATGCACTCAAGCACGAGGTTGATCATTCCCTGGAACGTTAAAAAAAAAAAAAATCACAATCAGACATCCAAAACTGTCATTCTGCTTACAGACTAAAAATGCTAAGTTGATTTAAAAATAGAAGTCTGACTGAAGGTTCATCTACTAATCATAAAGAAAACTGTGATCATTCAAAGGACAGGAAGACACACATTTGCATGTGAAATGAAATGTTCTTCAGATAGTTCAAGCAGATTTTAAATTCTGTATGCCATCATCAAATAGCAGTGGAAGAATAACCTAAAAATATGTACTTCATACTTATGGCCTTCTATTGTTAAGTGACCATAAGAGCAGATCCTTATTCTTAGATAGGCATTATTATTATTCTTAAAGATATAGTATATCAGGTAAAGCTCATGAAAAGATATTTTTAAAGCAAATCAAAAATGCTGTAATGCATTTTTGCATTATCGTGAACTTTGTAAGATACAGCCTGAGTTTGAAATTATGCTTTATTTTTATTATTATTGGTAGATCAAGGTTGTAAAAAGCGTGGCAAACCACATAAAGAGCTATCTAACCACATAAAGAGCTATATAAACCACTATCTAAACCAATTAACTTATTTCACACAGAATTTAAGAGATACCATGGACCTAAGAACATTTCCAAGTCCCCATCCAGATTGTCTTATATGAGAAGTTGGGAAAAAAACTAAATTACTATTTTAATTTTTACACCCCAATATTTAATGTTACTTCTTCCAGATATTAAATAAATGCAGCATTGTAAAAGAGCCTAACAATTTGGCATATGTGAAAGCTCCCAGGAAACTAGTCCACGTTATTATTGGTTTATGTTGATACTTTTTTGCTTTCGTGCCGTTGAGGTCTCTAGATAGGTCATCTCTTTTGAATACCCAGTGGGAACGTCCTCAAAAAGTTATGTCAGTTTCAAGCGTTTCTGATGAGATATTAGAACACAGCTTTAAAAGTAGACAGGGATTATGAGAACCTAGTAATAACCCTTTCTGGTTTTGTTTGTTTAGTTTTATTTCTCTGTGTCACAACTTTTATTTTAGGCTTTGGGGGTTACATGTGCAGGTTTGTTATGTGGGTATATTGCGTGTCACTGGGGTTTGAAGTATAAATGATTTCATCACCCAGATAGTGAGCAGAATACCTGATAGGTAGTTTCTCGACCCTTGCCCTCCTCCCACCCTCCACCCTCAAGTAGGCCCTGGTATTTATTGTTCCCCTCTTTGTGTCCATGTGTACTCAATGAATAACCTTTTTTGTTACTTTTACAAAGCTAAGTATTTATTCAGAAAAAAATCATTATTCTGCATACAAGATGCATTGAAAAGAATGGGAATCCAGCTGAACAAGCCTGATTTATCCCATCAACCCTCGTAGTCTCCAACGAAGCTCCTGACTATATTAGAACATGAGATATATCATTTGGTCCTTCTTTTATTGTTTGTAAAATATGACACTTGAGTTCTTTTTAGCAGTGAAACTTTTGGGGCAATACAATCATACATGGAAATGTAATAGATGCAAAGGAGAAGGGTAGGGTTGCTCTGTCCAAGTAGGGTTCCTGGAGCTCAGCCTACTCCGGTAGCCCTCTCCTGACAGCTTCCATCCCCAACACGAAGCTTCCTATAGATCCTGGGCCATTTCCAAGGAGCACCTGCTGAATAGTTTGAAAACCCTGATGCTTTCTAAAGCCTGTATTCGTACAGACACTTTGAGATTCTTAATTGATATAACCCACATGAAGAGAACTATAGTGCTTGCAAAAGACCAGGGTGAGGGCTGAGCAGACAGTAAATGTCTCTTGCCAGGAGAATGAAAAGATTCATGTTTTTAAATTAATACTCATGGATAGTATAAATAAATAAAAATCATGTCGAGATTTCTCTAAGGCCTGTTTCTCCTGTTCAGTAGTATACTTTCTCCTCTATATTGCAAAACGCAAAGATGGTCAAAATAGATGGAAAATTTTCCCAACCAAGAAGCTGTTTTTACAAGAGAATAACAGAAGAGAAATGAGTGTTGATAGAAACGGACCTCTTCCTGGAAGAGATTTTGCCGATTCTTCAGGGCTCGTAGTCTGTTCTGTTTGTCTTCATGCTCTAAATGCTCATCTGGGGGGTGGAAGTAGCCAATGAGATCCTGCAGACTTAGGCTTACGGACTCTATAGGCAAATCGACTGTGGAAGCCTTCGCTTTCTTGCTGAGAGCATCAAGGCCCCTAAAATAAACCATAAACATTTCTCTATTGTCAGTGATTCACAATTTTATCATTTTTCCATTTATAGATGATTTCAGGCATTAATCTCTCTCCCTACATCACTGTAAAAGGGACATGTCAGAAAGGTCCTCCTGCTCCAAAAGCAGTGATCATGGATTCTGATTCAAGTCAGAAACTGTGCAATGTTATGTTATAAAAAGCAGTATCCACGGCCACTCACCCAGAGAATAACCTCATAGGCTACAGGAACAGTGTCTACAAAACCAATAGTAGGAATGTTCAGAAACCAGTTGATTTTCATTGGAAAGCACTACACACTTTAAGGCTTCAGGCTTCATCTTCCCAGATTCATAATTCTGACATTTCCTTGTGGTTTGTCTTCAAAAAGGAATTCCTAAGTTTTCATGGACCCTAGCTTGCCATTCTGTTTAATTCCTGTGAGTTCAAAAATATATTCTAATGATGTTAATTTAGAAAATCTGCTTATGAAACGGTAAATATATATTAAAATGCTTTTCTATTATCTGAAAGAAATGCATTTAAAAGTTATACTAACAAAAATATCATGAAGTATTTTCTAGCCTTGGAAGAAAGATATATTACTGGCATGTAAATGTGTTCATTTGTTGAGCTTACTGAGATTCTCAGTTTTTAAACTCATAGCTTTGAATGTATCTGAAAAGAACTTTATAACATGTCTACAGATCAAAAGTATTTCAAAATAAAAATATTTTTTAAAACAATGCATACAATAAAAGAATGGGACAACATCTCTACTGTAGTTGATATTGTAATATTCTATAGCCATGACAAGTTGTTAATGCATAGAAATATTACACTTCCATTCCTGCTCTCTGTATTAGCAAAACTGTATGGTAACATTTTATTTCAAGCAAATGTTTCTGACTAATTTTCTGACTATGCTGGAACTTACATTACAAAACAATAAAATACTCATTAATGAGAATTAGCTTTGAACTTTATAGTTTTAAAAAATTATTTAAAATATGTCATCACTTCCACAAAGATTGCTAATGATTTTGGAATATTTGATTTCAGCTTTATCAAACAGTAGAAACAGTAAAACTGTACAACTATTTTAAAGTTTTTGCCTGAAATTCTATACCAATTATATATGAACAGAATTCACCTACCTACCCCCAAGTTTTATCGCCTCTATAAGTTTTTCTGTGCCCAAAATGCAAGAGTGACTTTTCAGTAGAAAATTATTTTTCCCATTTAATTCACATGCAGTGAAGTATTTTTCTAAACATTTTACCCCATTAACTCCAATTAAACATAAATAAATGTATAACAAATTCAAACTCAACTGTTAATAAGTGAATAAAATTCAAAAACGATTCAGTATCCACATTTTCAAATATAAGTGAAAACAACAGTAAATGTCAGTTTTTAGGTTATTACATTGAAATAAACATATCTACCATGAGGAATGTAACTATTCAATTACTTTGTAAGAGAAGTCTCTTGTCAGAAGAAATGTTGTCCAAACTTCTAAAATTATTAATTATGTTATGTTTCAGGGCTTTCCTCTAATACAAAGATGTATATCATCTTAATTTATGAAGAACAAAAAATATAATCAAGAATCAAGGAGAAAAAAAATCATCCAGAAATCCAAAGATAGTAGAATCACACTATGCTAGAGTAAAAATGAAAGCTATTAACCTTGTGGCTACATTTTGTAATTTAAAGATTAAACTATATTATTACCTAACAAATACAGGTTCCTCCCCTCTCTCATCTACTTCAAGAATATATTTATTAATATATCCAGAAGAAAAATGAAAACATATATAGTGTATATAAAATATATGATATATGTTGTTATATATTATATATATTTATTATATATTATATATTTGTTATACATTATATATAGTATATATTAGTATATACTAATAGTATATGCTGATATAGTATATTATTAATGTATAATATACTCTATAGTATATAGTTTATACTATATTATATAATGTATAATATATACTTTACATATATAATGTAATATATACAATTGTTAATTATACTATTATGTAGTATAGCATATAATACATATACTAATATATGCCATTAATTATATATGCTATTGTATAGTATATATAACATATACTATACTATACATTATAATATACTACATAATATATCCATTATAACATATAATTATATATAATATGTATGTTTAAACACTTCCACGTATACACACACATTATATATTACTTAAATGCTCATGAGTATTACTATTAGAAGTATACACACACATACACACACACACACACACACACACACACAAAATTTTATATATATTCCCCACCCCAGGCCAAAAGAATAGAGCTCCCTTCCCTGAAGACAACACAAACACACACACAAACACACACACAAACACACATACACACACAGTACTACCACAACCACCGTGACCTGGGAGAGAGAGAACAGAAGGATCACAGAACATAAACCACATAAGAAAAACACAAATGATTAACTATCTTGACTTTCTTTCCAAAAGGTAAAAATTTTTAAATTAGTCTCTTAATATGTAATAAGTAAATTGGCATTAATAAAATTAATAGTAAAAAAATAACTGAAAAATACATGGGTGAAAATATTGTAAAAATACTGAGATTTTAAAGACGGTGCTTTCATGAATGTGATAAAATGAATAAAATATTTTACTGAAAAGCATATGCTCTTTAAAATGCTCAGTAATCATGTAAAACTTTTCAAAGCTTCTAAATATATTAAAAAATTATATAAATTCAGGACTTCAATTTTTTTTTTTTTTTTTTGAGACAGAGTTTCACTCTGTCACCCAGGCTGGAGTGCAGTGGTATGATCTTGGCTCACTGCAACCTCTGCCTCCTGAGTTCAGGGTTTAAGTGATTCTCGAGCCTTAGCCTCCAGAACAGCTGAGATTACAGGCTCATGCCCACCACATCCAGCTAATTTTTATATTTTTAGTAGGGATGGGGTTTCATCCCTGTTGGCCAGGCTGCTTTCAAATTCCTGACCTCAAGTGATGTGCCGGCTTCAGCCTCCCAAAAGTGCTACGATTACAGGTGTGAGCCACCACACTCAGCCCAATTTGCTACTTTGTAAGTCTTATTATTTTACTGGTTGCGTAGCATTCTGTTGTATAGAACGTAGAATACAATATAGTTTACTCTCTGTTGATAAACTCCTGGCCTCAAGTGATCCACCCACCTTGGCCTCCCAAAGTGCTGGGATTATAGGTGCGAGTCACTACCGTGCCCAGCCTAAATTTGGGACTTATAATAGGTAATACTCCTGTGCATTTAAGTGAAACTTGCAAGTTTATATATATATGCAATAGAAACATGATTACTGGATATATATATATGCAATATAAATATATATGCAATATAAACATGATTACTGGAGTTAAATAATACAACTAAAGGATAAATATAGAAAAGAAACAAGGAGAATAAACGAAAGCTTAATTAAAATTTAGTTTTTGAAAAAGCTAATACATGATTAAGGTCAGTTAAGCACAAGAGAAAGAAAGGTTAATTGTGTTTATCCATGGCACTTCTCAGGTGATCACAAGGGAGAGACATTGTTAAAAGCAGATGTTAGATAACTCAGAAAAATATGGCAAATTTGTGATGGGTTTGTAATGAGGAGGATAGCTAAAAATATCAATGCAGAATTAGCAAAGACGTTCTAGGCTACATTTCCCAAGGGGAACAAGGAATCTCATCTGGAAATAAGCATTGCACATGTCAACTAGATGTGAGTTACATTTGGCCAAGACAAAGTGACAGGGCAGGATTTCCCTTCCCTCTGAAACAACCCAA
Organism: Homo sapiens; assembly: GCF_000001405.40. NCBI lineage: Eukaryota > Metazoa > Chordata > Mammalia > Primates > Hominidae > Homo > Homo sapiens. The sequence goes on along the minus strand of NC_000001.11, from coordinate 237,450,548 downwards.
AAAAACAAAGTATAATGGGGAGTGGCGGGGCAGGGACCAAACAAACACGAAAACTTTCAAGACACTGGAGAGCAATGAATAAAGGACAGGAATTCCTGAGGAATGGAAACAAATCAGGTGAGTCCTACAGCTGCCTCAGTTTACTGCCTAGGAGAATTTCCAGGCCATGGAGCAGGAAGGGAACCCAGGTGTGGCCTGACAGTCTCCATGAGTTGAAGAGATATTGCTGAGCATCCAGGAGACCAAGGTTGCTAGAATTCACAGGACACAGAGAGGAGAGGGCTCACAAGAGGGAACCCTGGAGACCTACAGAAGGTCCCCCTCAAATATTCAGCAGAACACTGATGAGAATGTCATGAGAAAACTACTCAAGGCAGGGAACAGAATCACCTGAAAGGATTAGAGGGAACAGCAACTGGCCCTCACACAGAACCTAAAACAGCGCCTGTCCCCAGCAGCCAGACTGGAAAACTCTACAATTCATGGGACACTGGATAGAGTATTCAGAGGGTCTTGTCTCAATAGTGGGGAATCACTTGCCCCAGAGTAAACACTGCTCTTCCCACCCAGAAAATTCTAAAGGCAAGATCCAAACAAATCAAACTCTTCCTAGGTAACTTAACAGCATCCCAGGAAAAAGCTCAAGAATATTTACAGGAATATAAAAATAGCCAGCACCTAACAAATTCACAATGTCTGGTAACTAAACAAAAATAACCAGGCATATAAAGAACTATAAAATACAATCATCAATAGGGAGTAAAATTAGTCAACCCAAAGAAAAAAAAAACTTGTCAATCTAGAATGCTGTACACAGCAAAAATATCACTTAAAATGAAGGCAAAAAACACATTTTCAGTTGTACAAAAGCCAAAAGAGTCTATCTCCAGCAGACTTGCATGATAAGAAATGTTAAAGAAAGTCCTTCATGCAGAAGAAAACAATACCTGAAGAAAATACAGATCCACACACACACACAAAAAGAGCACTAGAAATGATAACTACATGTGCAAATATAGATGTTTTTGTTATTTAAATCTCTTTAAAAACTAATTGATTTTAAATAAAAATATAGTGTGGAATTAATAACATCTATAAATGTAAAATGAATGACAAAGTGCGAAAACTGGGAGGGAAGTATACTATTATAATGTTCTTATACTATTCATAGAGTGACAAAATATCAATTAAAGGTAGACTGTGGCAAATTAAAGATACATGCTATAAACCGTAAGTAACCACTAAAATACAAATAAAGTATTACAGCTTTAATCCGTAAGTAACCACTAAAATACAAACAAAATATTACAGCTAATAAACCAATAAAAAGGAGGTAAGATGAAATAATAGAAAATACTCAGCTAATCCAAAAGAAGGAAGAAAAAGGAGGAAATGGGACAATGACAAAGTGTTCTTAGGTGGTTTATTTTTTGTAACCCATATGCTCTCACGCTCCCGTGTAAGGGTGGTGATGGTGGTGGCGTGTGTGTGTGTATCTCCTCTTTATCCTATTACTAGGTGGGACGAATATAAAACAAATAGGAAGAAGACAGACTTAAGCCTACTATATCAATAATCATATTAATGTAAATGGATTAAACAATACAATTTAAAACAGGGATTATCAAATGGGACAAAAATGCAAGACCCAACTACTTATTGCTTAAAAGAAATGCACTTTAAATGTAAAGATACAAAGAGGTTAAAGGTCATAGGATGCTAATACCAAAGGTGGGGTGGGGGGAAACTAGAGGGGCTATGTTCATATTATACAAAGTACATGTCATAGAAAAGAATATTACCAGAGTTAAGGAAGGTAATTTCATAATGATAAAGGGGTCAGTTCATCAAAAGAACAAAATCCTAAACAGGTATGCACTTAATAACGGAGCTTCAAAATGCACCAAGAAAAGGTGACAAGCAGCAAGGAGAAACAGAGATATCCACAATTACAGTCAGACACTTTTCAGTACCTTTCTCTCAGTAATTAGTAGAACAAAGAGACTGAAAAACGTAAGGAAATTAAAGATCTAAATAATACTAAATTGACACTTTTGAACACGACCCAACAAGAGGAGAATGCACATTCTTTTCAAATTCACATGAAACATTTACCAAAATAAAGTTTATTCTAAGCCATAAAACAAGTCTTAATAAATTTCAAAGCGATCAGTCTCACAAAGTATATTCTCTGACCATAATGGCATTAAATTAGAAATTAGTAACAGAAAAATACTCAGGAAATCCCCGAATATTTGGAAACTGAAAAAATCTATTGGTCAAAGAAGTCATCAAAGGGGAAACTGAAAGAAAACATATCAATGCCGGGTGTGGTGCCTCACGCCTGTAATCCCAGCACTCTGTGAGGCCGAGGTGGGTGGATCACTTGAGATCAGGTGTTCGAGACCAGCCTGGGCAACATGGTGAAACCACGTCTCTACTAAAAATAAAAAAATTAGCCAGGAGTGGTGATGCACACCTGTAATCCTAGCCACTTGGGAAGCTGACACAGTAGAAATTGCTTAAACCTGGGAGGCAGGTTGCAGTGAGCAGAGATAGGGCCATTGCACTCTAGTCTGGGCGACAGAATGAGAGTGAAGAGCAGAATGGGGAGAGGGGAGGGAGGAAAGGGGAGGGGAAAGAAGAAAAGACAGAAAGAAAGAAAAGAAAAGGAAAGAAAAAAGAAAAGAGGGAGGGAGGGAGGGGAAAGAGGGAGGGAGGGAGGAAAGGATGGAAGGAAGGAAGGAGGGAAGGAAAGGAGGGAGGAGAGAGAGACAGACGGAAAGAAAAGAAAGAAAGAAGAAAGGAAAATCAAAAGGTGTGAGGTACCACTAAAAACAGAAATGTATAACACTAAATGTTTATGTCAACAAAGGTCTCAATAATATCAGCATTCATCTTATAAAGTTAGAAAAAAGAGAGCAAGGCAAGAAGAAAGAAAATAGAAAAAATGAGACTGGGAATCAGAAAATCTTTTCATAGTTAATAGGGGTTAATGTAACCATCCTATTTTATCATGACAGGTATAACAAATGAATTTCACTCAAATAGCCCAGACAAAAAATAATTTTCAAGATTTAATAAAGCAGAAAGTGTATAATTCAACATTTTTTATCACAGAATCCAAATTTCTCATACTTGGTACTCTATCTAATCAGAAAAGTAATAGTTAAATTTTAAAATTATTCTTCCAAAGAGCAGATGTGCTAAAGTAAATCACATTCAAGATGAATTTTGGTATTTCAGCCAGCATAAAAAAATGTCACTTATGGTATACTAGCACTACATTATGTCTATAACACTGAGATAGTAGCTTTCCCACAAAATAGTTTTCAAAACAAATAACCAGTTTTTGGTCTAGTATTAAATTAACCTACCAAATGGTATCTCTGCAGTGCCACTGAATACTCTACAGCAGTCAAATTGAATTTTAAAAAGTCCCTCATATTTGAAGAAGTCAGTGTTGACTAAATATAAAATCGACAATTTCAAAGATTTATGATTAATTTGCTCAATCCCTATCATAGGATTGATCAGCTCTAGTAAAGAAAAACTAGTGGGAAGAACAAGATATGAAAAGGCTAAGTTTGTTTCCAAAATAAGTTATAATTTCCAAGTAGAACTTCTTGACTAGTTTTATAATGCATTAAAATGTAATAAATTTTTACTGTAAGAAATAAATACTATATTAAACTACAAGAATACAAATAATACTGAAAAGTAATACAAGTAATAAAAAATACAAAAATGTGGTGCATACCCCATTCGATTTAAGCTTTACTGCATCTGATGAGGCTTGGAGTTGAGACGAGGCAGAAAAATGGACTAAACACTTAGGATGTGTGGCCAAATGCTGTGCACATTTTTTGGTTACATACAGGCACACACACATATACACACAGTGTGTATGGTTTATAAAAGAGATGGTTTATAAAAGAAGTAGAAAATAATATAATCTTGAGTAGGGGAGATTTGTTTTATGCTGTAAAGCCAAAAAAAAAATTTACCAATTCAACTACTACAAAAATCCTTTCAAATTCTTTCCCAAACCAATAAACTGGTAAAAAGGTTTGCAACTTATGATGACAGGAAATGAATATCTCTAAACATAACAAAAGCTCAGAACAACTTAACAGAAATATTAACAAATAATAGGATTAAACACAAAAGAAAAAATAAATGAAGAAAGATGGTCAACAAAAAGTTTCCCCCATCAAATTAGCAAAGTTTAAAGAGACAAATGCAATCTCTCGCAAGTCAGAGCATATGTTGGTATAATGTTACCAGAAAACATGTTGGTCACAAGTTTAATTTAGTCTATAGATATGCAATTATTAGGTGGAAGAACAGTTCTTATGAGAATTACTTTAAAAAAATACATATCAAAACTCCGCAGCTATATAGGCTTCACTGCCCTCATTGAAAAAGGAACTAGGCTGGGCACGGTGGCTCACACCTGTAATCCCAGCACTTTGGGAGGCCAAGGAGAGCGGATCATGAGGTCAAGAGATCGAGTTCATCCTGGCCAAGATGGTGAAACCCTATCTCTACTAAAAATACAAAAATTAGCTAGGCATGGTGGTGAGCACCTGTAATCCTAGCTACTCGGGAGGCTGAGGGAGGAGAATCGCTTGAACCCAGGAGGCAGAGGATGCAGTGAGCCGAGACTGCACCACTGCACTCCAGCCTGGATGACAGTGTGAGACTCTGTCTCAAAAAGAAAAAAGGAAAAGAAAAAGGAACTAAATAGGTTCAGTACAAGGAAAAGTAGTCATTAAATCATCCTAATCTATACCTATCAATTACAAATTACACATCCAATTTCCAAAACCATATTCTTTTTAAAAGTTTATTTAAAAGAAAGACATTAAATCATCTCATTAACACTTCCTAACGTTTCTGCTGACTTACCAAACAGTATGAGATTTATTACCATCATAGCATACTTTTAAATTGTCTATTTGCATATCCAATAAAGAAATGAAAATGAAGTATCAAACAACTACGCCTACAAAAGAAAAAGTACCTTATAAATCTATTGAAAAGGAAGACTGTGCTCCGGATAACTCGGGCTGTGCGTGATTCTTCATGCTGGGATCTCGACAAACTTATGCCATCATCCATGTGGCCTTCATGATGCATAATAGCCTGTAAGAAAGCAAAAATAAGGCCATTACTCCCAACGTCTCTTTTCCAAACTAGAGTTAGGGAGATGTGTACTCAAACAGCTGAGCCATAACAACAGATAGAATCAAAAGGCAGGTACAGGGGACTGTGAAGCTGTTACGTTCAGATAAAATCATATGCACAGCTCCCTATACAAATTAGCCATTCCATTTATTCATTTAGTTATTACTTCATTTTTTTGAGATGGGGTCTTGCTATGTTGCCCAGGCTGGTCTTGAACTCCTGGGCTTCAGTGATCCTTCTCCCTCTGCCTCCTGAATAGCTAGAATTACAAGCCCCCATCACCTTGCCCATCTCAGTTATCATTTTAAAGAACTACTCAAAAAATGCAATGAGTCGAGTAAAACAAACAGCAGAGCCTTTTCACATATCTACATTGAACGACTGATCCTCAGCCTAAGCAAACTTGGTACAAAGCAGCAAAGCTAACGTTGCACTGGCACACCAGTCATACAGTAGTTCTGAACATAGACTGGTCAATAATAAGCACTGAACAATGCTTATAAATCATCTAAATGATAAAAATGTATACATATATTTCTTTTCTTTTGATAGTTTTTTGTTTTTGAACTTTCTATGAAACTATAATGTTAGGAAAGAGAAATGCAAAAATCTTAAGAAAACAGTTCCATGATTTTCACAAGTGAACATTCCTGCATGACCAACACCCAGCTCAAGAAAGAAAACATTACGGTATCTCAAAATCCTCCTTAGTGCTCTCTTCCTATCCCTATCCTTCACAAGGTTCACCACCTTGCAGACTTTTGACAGCACAGATCAGTTGTGTACTATATATAAGTAGAACCGTTTGTTCCCATCTGTGCTTATCTTCATTCAACATTTATAGCAAGATAATTTAATACACCTACCCAGGTGTACTGAACTAAATCTAGGAACTGGAACTATAAATTATCTAGAAAGCAATGTAAAGAGGAAACTCCTTATATAAAAAATGAGTGAGACACAGATATATCTATATTCAAAGGCAAAATATTATAGCCTTAAGTGCCCTGATTAATAAAGAAAAGAATGACTAAAATGAAAGAACTTGCGGTTTTCATGTCCTAAAAATAGAACAGCAAAGAGAGTTGAAAAGTGGAACTAATGAAGATTAAGTGAAATTACTAAACTAGAAGTCAAATAAAGTACTAGAAAAGATTTATAAACTCAAAATTTGATTCCTTGTGATGATAAATAAAACAAAGCTCTCACAAACCAGGCTAAAGATAAAACAGAAAGTAAAAACACAAAGAATGGGAAATTACAATAATACAATACTGTGTGCAACTCCATGGCAAAACCAAAAATCAACCAACCAAACAAAACTGGGTATTCCAGGGGAATAGAATAGATTTTTAGCCAAATAAGACTAATCAAAAGGAATCCAACTCTATTTGACCAGTTTCTTTAGAAAAGGATTGAAAAGATAATTTAATATACAATATTTAAAAGACCTAGGACCAGCTGGTTTCACAGGTGAGCTGTGATAAAGTTTCAAAGAACAGCTACCTTTCATGGCAGACTAGTCTAGACCAAGGATTGGCAAACTACAGCACATCACCTGTTTCCGTATAGCCCATGAGCTAAGAATGGTGTTTACATTTTTAAATGGTTGAAAAAAAGACCAGAGTAGAATGGTGTTTTGTGACACATAAAAATTAATAAACACAAAGATTGTATGAAATTCAAAATTCAATGTCCATAAAGAGAAATTAACTTCCCCCGTAAATATACATGTAATAATTCTGAATAACATATTAATTAATTAAATCTAGTAGAATTTCAAAAGAATCATACACTATGGTCAAGTAGGGTTTACTCTGTGAATTTAAGAACTCTTTAATAATTGGAGGTCTGGTAACTTAGTTATTTTATCAACAAGTTAAAAGACACAACACATGATTTTTATCTTCTTTATTAATAAAATTCAGTAATCATTGCTATTTTTAAAAAGCTAAGTAAAATTGAAATAGCAGGAGGCTACTTAAACATAAAAACAATTTCAACTGTCCTCAGGATGCAAGTTACGACTTCGATAAAATAGGAGTGGAAATTCACAATGGGAAAATATGCTGAGATAATAAACCAGCAGACCAGATGAAAGAACAGCAAGCTGAGATAAAAAGGTGAGCTGGGTGAGATAAAGACAAGAAAAAAAAAGCATGAAAACTAAAATTTTAAAGGTACAGAAAGGGCTTACGAACAGAACAGCACCAAAGAAAAAAATGAGTACTTTGGAAGACACACTTGAGAAGCGAAGTGTAGAGAAAAGGTCAGGGAGAACACTGTGAGGAAAGACAGCCATGTTCCTGAGAAAGAAACCAGCAGACTAAAATGGCACGAAAACAGGAACCAAAGACATGGTTGGAAAAGTAGATTCACATACCCAACTTGTTCCAAACATACATAAAAGTTTTCCAACAATTTAAGTGTGCGTTTTTAAAATTTAATTAAAGTTAAACAAAACTAAAAATTGTGTTCATCTAGTTCGAGTTATATACAAATACCAAATTGCCACATGTGTCTAGCAGTTACTGATTTGGACAGCACAGCCTTATACCTAGCTGCAAGTTCATGGGAATTACCAAGAGCATAGGCAATGGGGAAAAAAAGTCAGACACATCCAGAACATGAGGCATTCTATAACTGGCATGGATTTTTTAAAAACTCGATGCTACAGGAAAAAAATAAGCTGAGAATTTGTTCTACATTAAAAGAGACTGAAAGGCATAAAAATAAATAAGTGCATGAATTTTGATTGCATCCTGATTTTAATCAACTAGAAAAGATATTATTGAGATAACAGAATAAATATGAATACAAACAGGATAGTCAATGATGTAATAGAATTACCTTAATGCTATGTAACTGTACTGTGGATGTCTGACTGCATACACACACACAGAGAAAAGAAAGACAGGAGGAAAGGAAAGCAAATCTGGCTAACTATAATAATTGTTGACTCTAATTCAAGGGTATGTGGATGGTTATTGGTTTAGTCTTTTAACTTTTTTATAGTTGAAATTTTTATAAGTAAAATATTAAGAAAAAAAGAAAAAGATAACATCTGCTAAATCTAGTAGAAGAACCATGACCAAACGTCATTATCAAAAGAAAAATTTGCTTTAAAGCCAAATCAACCTCTTCTGCCACAATTTCGACAACATTAGGTGTTCACCTTGAGAATGCTAACCCAGCTCACCCTGGCTCATAATTCTGCAAAGCTAATGCAGTTGAAGACCAAGTTAGCAGGTGCATGGGCAATCTCACCAACTCAATTATAACTCCACATCCTTGAAAATACATGTTTTCATTCAAGAAACATTTATTGAGCACCTACTATGGTTTCAGCACTCTGCTAGATGCTGAATATACATAAATCAAAGACTTGGTTCCAATCTCAGAGTCTAGTAATGAAGACAGAATAAGTCACAATTACACACCTTTAACTCTTCCTTTCCTTTCTGACCCCGCCCCCTCCTTAGATTGTGTTTAGTTTAATTTCTGGCTTGTTGGCTTCTGGGGACCTCAAAAAGTGGGCCTCTTCCTGTAAGCAAGGGGATGTCAGTAACGGACTTTGTCACAGCATGGAGGACAAAGTGAACGGTACTAAACTAGAATCCAGAAGACGGCACTGTATATTTCTTCACTTCATATTTAAATGCACGCATCCCATAATCCTATATATGAGTGATGTAACATCCAACTCTGTTCACTTTACAAAGCTAAAGAGTCTATTACAGTGGAATCTGCCCTTTCACTTGCAAAATTATGAACTTTTGCAGGTGACTAAAAAGATCAGCCAATTATTTTTGACTTGTGCTTGTGTATTCATAAAAAATTACTTCTATAAATTATGTTTTTTTCTATCACCTTACCTTACGTTGTATAGATCCCATTCTCACGGATTTCACGTCCACAGACTGGTAAGTAAGCCATAGGCCTGTGTCTACATGTTGTATATAGCATACTGAGTCACCGTATTTTATTTCAGATGTTCCCATGCCATCTACTTCTTTTCTCACCCCTACATCCAATTTTTCCTAAGGGGAGAGGAGGAAAAAAAGGTCAGTAAACATTTCAAAAATACTAGTGTATGGCAATAGAATTTTGCCTTATTGCAAATATGTTCCTTGAAAAATTCAGCCCTCTGAAGTCCCCTGAAATAATGGCCAAATATTTTACTCTAACAGTTCGACCTCTAACTTATGCTTGAATTATTCACATTGGTAAAACACTATTTTTGCCATAATGTAAAATTTTTAAATTTTATGTTGCATAATGGCCAACTCCAAACCAGAGATCTTAAAATCAGTAGTTAAGCTAAACATACTTCCTGGGTTTTTGTGGATTTTTTTTTTTCATTATTAGTGATTAAGAGCATAGATTTGGGGGACAGAGAGATTTAATTTTGAGTCCAGCCTCTGCCACTCATTACCTCTAAGATGTTAGCAAGTTAATTAAACCTTTTAAGCCTCAGTTTTCTCATCCATAAATAAAGCTAATAAGGTACCTCTCCATAGGATCAAAAAAAAATTAAGATAATGCATGTAGATTTCAGAATAGTGTCCCCGGGATAAACACTTCAAAATTTTTTGACAACTTTGACAATAATAACGGTGACAACGATTGTTAATGAACCTATTAAAATGATTATTTATTTTGAACTAATCAAAGCTAAAATTCAGTTTCTACTACTGCAATTTCCAACTCAGACTACAGAGGTATTCACTCTTAAAGGACTACTATGCCAAGCTTCCTCTCCTAGGAAGTAGCAATCCATCCTCTGACACCAGCCAAATGTTTTTTTCAAATCTCTGTTTATGTCAGCACTTCCTCCTCCAACATACTCTTTCCATTTTTCCTCCCATGCATAGCTGTGATCTTCAGGAACTCACTATGTCTTAAAGTCCTGTACAGTCCCTAAAGCAGCAATGAAAAAGCCAAAGGTACCTCCTTTCTTTAGTCTCTTATTCTTTTTTCTTCCTTGGTCTAACCTTCCTTGTTAATTTACTTTACGTGTCTTCTATGTCTTTGGTCTTATGACTTTTATTTAGAATTATAGTTAAACGAATGTTTTGAAGATTCAGTCAGAGTAAAATGTATGTCTGCTAAACAAAAACGAACAATTTTAAAATAACCCCAAGGTTTAACAGATTTTTCATGTCATTTGCATAATGTATTAATAATTAATGACCTGAAAATGATTATGAACACTCCATAAACAATTGAAAATTAAAATTAAAATGAGTTGAAATTTTTAACACAAAATGTCAAGGTCAACTAAGAAAATATATAATTATCAATTAAGTTGATTCAATCATTATGCAAATAACCTGAAACACTATTCTAAGTATCTGTAATAAAACAGACAATAAAACCATTCCAATTTCATTCTATCAACCTAGATAAACTACTAATCTACTTTTACCAACCCTGTCAATAGAAAAATTAAATTCTGTGATAAAAATAGAACACTGTAATTATCTCTTCAGAATAGAACAGTGAGCCTCTAACATTTTTTTTTTTTGGTCTTTTCTTCAAGCAAATTGGTTTGTGTCTAGACTATTTATGGGTGCATGGATTATATATTAAGAAGTCACGTAAACATTAATTGTGAAATTATGCTTTCTTTGTATTTTATTGATGTATTTCACATCCGTCTCTGGATTAGAAGATTTAATTGTGAAATATCGTGATGATGATTTTTTTTTTTTTGAGATGGAGTCTTTCTCTGTCACCCAGGCTGGAATGCAGTGGCACAGTCTCAGCTCACTGTAACCTCAGCCTCCTGGTTCCAAGCAATTCTGCTGTCTCAGCCTCCCGAGTAGCTGGGACGACAGGCGCCCACCACCACACCCTGCTAATTTTTGTATTTTTAGTAGAGACAGATTGCACCATGTTGGTGAGGCTAGTCTTAAACGCCTGAACTCAGGTGATCCACCCACCTCGGCCTCCCAAAGGGCAGGGATTACAGGTGTGAGCCACCGCTCCCGGCCGATGACTGTTTTAATAATTACTATGACCCTTGAGTGAGGTAAAAAATGCTGAAGTTACATTAGAAAAAATAAGTGAGAACACTTGCTGAATGAAAGACCAAAGGCCATCCATGTTCTTTCCTTCTTTATCTCCTGTCATTTTCTGTAGCTCAGGCTTAGGAGAAATTCAGATGAAAATAATCTAGATCCTTTGAATGACCGTAAGCTGAAGTACAGCATGAACAACAAATGTGACATCTAGTAAAAGCATCCAACAGAATAGTAGCCTGTATTACTGGAAATAAAGTGCTCAGATTAGGCAAGTAATAATCTTACTAAAACTCTGTATTAGCTGTACCATATCTATATTAATGGCCTTAATTTTGGCATCAGCTTTTAAATTTTATTTTTCTTTTGAGTTGTTCTACTTTGGAAAATGATGAAGTAATTCACTGGAGTGAATTCTCCTATAGAAACTATTATAAAATTTGGAAAAAATCCTTTTAAGAATTGACTTAAAGGCACTTGGACCAAAAGCAGGAAGAAATTGAAAAGTAGATCTCTCAAAAGACAAATAGCACCTTGCGTGATTGGTAGGTGGCTGCCTTTTGCCTTGGGGCATGCAGTGCCCAATCTGTCTGCTACTCTGGCAGCAGCAATCTGCTGCTTTATGGGCTTGAGGTATCAGAGGATATGCTTCAGGGACCACAAGCAACAAAATAATTAGATGGGCTAAATCCTGGACACAAAGTTATCTACAAAATCTTTGTAAAAAAATTATCCAAATTCTGCTGACTATGTATGCTGGAGGAAAGTCCAGTATAATGGCAACAGATGGAAGCTGAAAGATTTGAGTAAAAATATAAGCAACTCCTCATGTAAAAGAGAGAAAACTGAAGTTTCAACCCAACAAGGTTAACTGCCTGCAAAACCAAAATCACTCTTCAGAAAAAAACTTGAAATTCAGAGCCTCTACTACATATCATTCCCAATATCCAATATACTGTCAAAAATAAGCAGATACAAAGAAACTAGAAATGTGAGCTATATTTTTTGGAAAAACAAAAACAACAAGAGTATAGGCAATACAAATCAATGCAAAGATGGCCCAGATCCTACAACTAGCAGACGAGGACTTTACAGCAACTATTATAAATATAAAATATGTTCAAAAATATAAAGGAAAACACATACATAATGAATAGAGCTAAATTATACATCACAAAAATAAATGAAATAGAAAAATGAAAATAATTTAAATACAAAATTAACTGGGTCAGCTTAGCATCAGATTGGAATTGTATAAAAAAGAGTTAATGAAATTAAAAGTTAATCAGTAGAAATTTTTCAATCTGTAGATCAGATTGCCATTAAAACACTCTAGCTTAAGTATTTTGCTATTAAATGGAAACCTCCTTCAAAAGACTATATAAAATTTAATTCCTATGCCTCCTACATTTAATCAAGAAAATGTCAAGATCCTCCTAATCTTAGCATTATCTTATAAGCATTATCTTATTCATTAAAACCTGTAAATTTTTAACTTTTATAGTCTTCTATCCTGCAAGAATAATCTTGAGACCTTAAGAGCTATAAAAATACTCAAAGATAAAATGACTCTTTTCAGCACAGTCTAGAATTATTGCAAGCACTGCTTTTTCAGTCTAAGAGGTGCGTATGGATATTTTCTCTTTTCATTCATGTACTCTCATAGCATGTTGTACTTTCACTATCAGGGAAATGTTGGCACTTTGTTAAAACTGTTCCTCAATTGTCTTCTTTCCACTTGACTATCATTCACCTTTTTGACAGCAGGAATCATATGTCTGATTCCTCCAGCCTGACCCCACATAACCTCAGGACCAGAACAGCCTGCAAATGTCAGATCCTTGATGAATTTCTGGAAATCCCTTCAGATTTCCCATAAAAACTGTGCTGACAAACTACTCCCATTATGAGCATTCAAATAATCCCATTCGTAAGTGCTTGGAACATCTAATTTTCAAATGAATATTAAAATAGACCCAGATGTGGCTGGGCGCGGTGGCTCACGCCTGTAATCCCAGCACTTTAGGAGGCCGAGGTGGGCGGATCATGAGGTCAGGAGATCAAGACCATCCTGGCTAACACGGTGAAACCCCATCTCTACTAAAAATAAAATAAAATAAAAAATTAGCTGAGCGTGGTGGCGGGTGCCTGTAGTCCCAGCTACTTGGGAGGCTGAGGCAGGAGAATGGCGTGAACCCAGGAGGCAGAGCTTGCAGTGAGCCGAGATTGCGCCAGTGCACTCCAGCCTGGGCAACAGAGCCAGAGTCCATCTCAAAAAAATAAAATAAAAATAAAAAATAAATAAATAAAATAGACCCAGATGTAAAAACGATTGGTCTGAAAAGTATTAAGTAATATTTGGCATTGGGTATACCAACCTGACTCATAATGAAGCCATACCTATTTCTGAAGAACTGTGGCCTTATACACATAGATATACTAAGTGATATATACATACTAGATATATAAAACTAGACTCAGTAAAAGACTAAAACTAGTCCTATAGAATTATTTCTTATAATACAGAGCATGCGGTTCAGAGGAATTCTTCTAGCATAGTTAAAATCATCCGTATGTCTATCCAAATTACTCTATCAGGTAACTAATAGATCCTCAGATGATGGAGTTTTTATTGATTTCTTAATAGCCAGGTCTCTTTAAGACAAATAATGATTAAAGTTAGAAAAAAATTAAAAAGTCAAAAGAATTTTTTTATTTGCTCCTTTATGGTGCCGCACTGCAGCCCAGAATAGTTGGTCACTGTGAAAAGAAAGTCTAAAAATGTTACGTGGTAAGAGAAACGACTGGTACTGACAGGCCAGGCCAGGCTTAGTTAGCCCTTCCAGGACAGAAATGCAAAAAAAAAAAAAAAAAAAAAAAAGGAAAATCACACATTATCCCTCGGCTTCTCAGGAGAAGTTACTCTGGTAAGTGAGTTTGTGGAAAGAAAGGATTTTTAAAGTTTCTCATGCTGAAGGGGTCTATGAGGGGCTTCCACAGCCGTAGCCACAAAGCTTAAGGTCACAGTGCCTAAATAACAGCCCTCTAACACCCCGTACAATACCCTCCCCTAGAGTGTGCGTGGGACCAATGAATAGAACAGGATATCACTCCTGCAATGAGGTTACCTTAGATGGCAAAGGTCAAGGGATCTTGTAGAGGTAATTAAGGTTCCTTATCAATTGACTATGAGTAAATCAAACGAGAGATTATCCAAGGTGGATGATACTTAACCAGGTGAGCTCTTTCAAAGGGTTCAGGCTTTCCCTGAGCACATAAACTACAGCTAGTTTCCATGGGACTCTACCCTGCTCTTGGTTCTCTCTTCCTTACCACCTGTGGCCAACAGCATCAGCCCATGCCTAAGGATTCCAGCCTGATCATAATCATCCTGGCCAGACCACTTGCACGGCAGGTGTCAGGCTTACTTACCCAGCCCTCACAATCTCATTAAGCAAACCTATATAATAAATGCCTTAATATATACATATCTCCACTGGTTCTGCATCTCTGGCTGAACCCTGATTGATTACTCTAATTCGTCACAATGTTTCCATATATGAGAATGTAGCTTTAGATATGTATTTCTGTGTCATCTATTTTTTCCTGAGACAACCACTTGTGTTTTGTAACTTAGTTTAAATAAAACTAAACTATCAAATTATGATATGTTAATCACAGAAGGCTTCAATGGGTTCATTCTCGTTCTTACAGTCGTTAAAAAAGACCAGCATACAACTATAACTGAATTTCTCTATCTTCTGTAAAACCATAATTGGCACTATTTTATCAGTGTATCAATGCCCCTTGAGAAAAGACTACTGCAAAAATTTCTTTTGAATTTAATCCCAAGTAAATGCAAAATTCATCTCCATGGGTAACTTTGTATAACTGTTTTGATAAGAAAAAAAATTACAAGTTCTTTATAAAATCTTTAGTTTTCTTACTAAAGAGGGTTTTAGTCTTACTATGTAGTTAAGTTTGGTTCTGCCACATAACTTGTCTAAGCCTCAGTTTCCTCAACTGCATAATAAAGATAAAAAAACAGCATCTTAACTCCATACAGTTGTGTTAGGATTAAATAAGATAATGCATGAAAGGTGCTCAGCACATTGTTTGACACATAGTAAGTTATTCACCTCTACCTTTATTTTCACTGTGTGAAAGTGTACATTTTAAAACATCTGAAACATATTCTGAATGAAAAATAAAAAATCCAGATAAAAATAATATAGTAAAAATGTCTTTAAAATGTTTTAGTCTGGCATCGTAGCACATGCCTGGGTAACCCCAGCATTTTGGGAGGCCGAGGCAGGCAGATCACTTGAGCTCAGGAGTTCAAGACCAGCCTGGGCAACATGGCGAAACCCCGTCTCTACTAAAACTACAAAAATTTGCTGGGTGTGATGGTGCATGCCTATAGTCCCAGCTACTTGGGAGGCTGAGGTGGGAGAATTGCTTGAACCTGGGAGGTGGAGGTTGCAGTGAGCCAAGATCTTGCCACTGCACTCCAGTCTGAGTGACAGAGCGAGAGACTCTGTCTCAAAAAAAAAGTTTTATATTTTACATTTGTTCCACAATTCTTGTAATCTCATTGACAGTCTTATTTGAAACTGTTATTCCATCATTTCCATAGCAAAAGACTTCTATTCATTGTACACAGGGAGGAAAAACCAGAGGAAATCGCCTACAGAGAAATGTTTCAGTGGCATTTTAAGCTAAAAAATTTTATCTGGAGGGTTGGGGATTGGATACACATATGATTGGCAAGACCTGCCTTATGATTAAAACAAACATTTCAACACACTTGAAAACAATGGTTACAACTTCTAGGAATAGAGAAAGTGAAGAATATTTCTAAGAAAATCTACATTTATCAAATAGCATTCTTCGTTATGTAAGATATTTTCCTTAAAAGAAAACCAAAGTAGGTTACATTATAAATGATTTCCTATTTTATTCAGTTTTTTTCTGAATATATAGGGTTGCCAGCAATTGTTGATTCTTCCCTCAAATCCTGTATTTGAGACTGGCTGGTGAATGTTCACATTACTGTCAAAGACACCCCAATGACAATTGAGGAAATGCTCCTTATGTCAACTAGCAACATGGAATTTTAAAGCCAGTCTCACCTTTAAAATCTAAAGTTAAAATGATCTTAATGATTTATAAAATCTTCCAAATGTACTTATACTTTCAATACCGTCTCACACAGTTAGGGGTAAGGGACTGCTCAGGTAAATGCAAGGGTTCACAAGAATTGATTTTCTTTTCAGAATTTCAAAACCAAAACTCCTAAACCCAGATGAAAGCTGAGATTTGCAACTGACCTAGAAAAGTTTGATTTTCCATCAGTAATAAATCTTGATTTGCAACACAGTAATTATGTCAACCAGCAGTCAGTTCACTATTGCATACTCAAAGTATACCTCAGGTCTAAGATATATGTTACATCATTTTTTTTAAGTGTTTGCCTTTCATAATGTAAGTACTCTTCATGGGAAATATGGTAGAAGATACATGTCTAAGATCTAAGGTCTAAGATATATGTTACGTCATTTTTTAAAAAGTGTTTGCCTTCCACAGTATAACTCTTCTTCATGGGAAATGTGGCAGAAGTATGTAAAGAGAGGGCAAGAATTTTCAACCTACCAGTAACACTGAGGTGGGGAAAAAGTATCAAATATACCTTTAAGTGAATCCAATATGTATTTTAAAGAACAGAGACCATGATCAAATGTGATGACTAACAAAGGGATTAAGTGAATCTGTTGAGCTATTCTATTTTCTCTGAAATGTTGACAATGTGAAACAATATCTTAAAAATATATATATTTTCATCTTTAATCAAGGTCTCTTTTTATTGTGTTTCAATAATTATAAGTTCAATGCTGCTTTATTATATAATTGCAGAAAATACTTTTCAGCATGAATGGATTTTTATGTCATTGGGCTTCCAATCAAAACAAGATTCTATTATAAATATAATCAGCACTATCAATTACTCTAATTTTTCACGTCTGTATATGTGAGTGTAGTTTTAGATATGTGTTTCTGTGCCATTTATTTTTTCCTGAGATACCTATTTGTGCTTTGTAACTTATTTTAAATGAAACTAAACTATCAAATTATGTTAGTTCCACAGCCCTTTTTTCTGTACCTTGTAGCTGGATTTTAACTACTTTTCTAGTATCAGAAATGCCTTCTATTTTAAAACCAATTTTCTACCAATCAAAATTGGGTAAAATATTACACAAGAATCACACACTAATTTGTTCTTTTCTTTAAGATACCCCCCCCCACACACAGTCACCTAAACATTTTAATTAGCAGATAGTTTTAATTAAATTTATTTAAATTATAGCTCTCCTCTTATAAAGTTATTGGTATCTACAAACTTCTGAAAATCAGGGATCTAAGAATTAGAAAATTTAAAATACAGTGGTAAAAAAAAAAAAACAACAAAAAGAGTATTGTGCATTCTAAAGGAAGTAAGTTATCCAGAAGCATTAATTTGCTTTAAGAAAATGATGCTGATGATAATGATAGTGATGACAGAAAAACAGATGTAAGAAAAAGACACCACTGCTCTACTTTTAACCAACGAAATAGGAATTTGAATCACCAGCTCCAGACTATAGTCTTGGATGTCAGGCATTGTTGTAAACAAAAGTCATTTTTTAAATTCCAAATTTGTAATATCCAGAGACAGCCCTAATTGGAAAGACACTAACCATGATTACAGAAAGCTCAAGTTAGGACATGAGCAGAATTTCGAAGAATTTGGAAGTGGGCATAAAAAATGTCCATCCCTTCCCTTCCCAGAGAAGACTGAGTCAGGAGAATCAAATCCCCCTATACCACTTCGACTCACCAGATAATAAGAATTTTCTTTCCATTCCCAACTGAATATATTTATGCCCAGTCTTAGAGTAGCTTTGCTAGTACATTCAGAAGTTCCCAATTGAAAACATATTGTTGTTATTGATTCTGTTTCTGTCCCTACAAGTTATGATTCGGAGCTCATTTGAAATATTAGGAGATGCATATATATTTAAGATATATTAAATGCCTTGAATAATCTGAAGTACACTCGAGATTAAACTGTAAAAGGCATTTTTTTTTAAAAAAAGCCTAAAGTCATTGCTCTGGGATACATGGAATGAAGGGAAGGAAAATTCAAATTCATCTGCTTGTAAAAGCCACATGCGTTCCAAGAAATGAATAAAAAAAAAAGACCATTTGCTAAAAATTGCTTACTGTGGCATTTGTTTCATTCATGGGAATACTAAATCATTATAATTTGCTTCTAAAATGATAGGAGCTTTACAGTTAAAGAGGTTAACTTACTCACAGAATATAAAATAAGATATAACTGATTTTTCATCTATCAAAATTATCAGATTTTAAAATCATCTGTTGATGAGTCGCACAGAAATGTAAAGTTTCATACCCTGCTGCTTAGAATAAATACTGGTGCAAAGTTCTGAAGAGTACTTTGGCCAGGTGCATTCACTCACTAGGGACATTTAGCAATCCCCACTAAGTGTCAGGCACTGCACTATCCATGGTGAACAAAACAGATACTGTTCTGCCCTCTGAGAGCCTCCAGTACCAAACACTTGAAATCTTCACATTTTTAGACCAAATAGTACAACTTCCAAAAAAGAAGTAGTCAGCAATATATAGAAATATTCAGAGATAAAAATATTCAGCTTAAAAGTGAAAAATTGAAAATAAGCTAAATATTCAAATATAATAAAGTAGCTGCATGAATTATGATAAATCTATGTAATAAGATGTTGAATTATTGCCAAATTCTATTAAAGAATATAGTAGTATATGTTATTAAATAAAAATTAGGCCCAAAATCATATATAATTAACACTGTTCATCATCAAAATATGTAATATTTGCTTACAACTCAAATACACACAAGAGGTTGTTTCTGAGTGATGGATTTACTTTTCTCCTTTCTCCATCTTTGTACTACCTTTACATTTTTCTGTAATGACTATGCATTAAATATATAATAGAAGAAGTCATTTTAAAAGAAATAATTGGAAGAGTTAGTGTCTCTAGTTCATGGGAAAAAATTTATTATCTAATCTTCCAGTGATACTAAAATTAAAAATATACTGTGATTAAAAAATATTTCTCTTGAAATCTCACCTTCACTTTCACTGCCTTCAACCACTTCATCATATGAAATTACCTGTATGAATGAAGTGGCTGGAAGCATGGAAGCGTTATTAACCTGTACACTCGAGTGGTTCCATGAACACCAGGCAGGAAAGTAGCTTCAGAGAAACTAAATTGCTCAGTTAAAGAAGAGTTGAGTTGGGCTCTTCGGCCTCTCTACCTCCATGCAACCTGTGACATTACACAATTGCCAAATTCCAGAAACAGAATCCCTGAGCAGAAATCACAGAAGGATCTGGAGAGTCAAAAGTCCTCAAATATGAGCCCTATTCTAACATGGAGAGAATATTAGGAGGGATATTCAGAGAAAAAGGTTTCAAAAGCTATTGCTTTGGGCAATCTCTATCAAGAACATTCAAAAATATTCACAGCTTTTAAGTCACTATTTCCATTTGTAGGAATCCATCCTAAATAAACAAATCAAAAATGTGCACAGAACTTATGTCCCAGAATGTCAGTGCAATGGTTTTTATCTTTAACTGATTTCATTGTAAAATAAATATGACTATTGTAATAGCCAAAATAATCCAGAGATACATTTTTTAAGTTAAAGAAAAAATTTCTCTCTGTCTTCATATTCTCATACAGCTTCCATTTTGATCTTTCTAAAATACTGTGAGTTAAATGATTAGTGTATATCCTTCCACAACTACCATAAAATCATATACAAACACAAGTATGAAGATTTCTTTTTAATTACAAAAATATTTGTAATACCTTTAATATTACAACAATAGATTACATTAAAATCTATCATAAGATTTGCAATACCTATATTACAATTTACAACTCAAAATGTTGAGTAAAACAATATTTTACTGAACAATATTTTCATGGATATTTTTCCAGATCAATATATTGTTATACATATCTCCAGATCAATATATATTATGTATATAACATATTCAACATATATTGTTATGCATATAACATATGTTATGGATATAACATATAAAACATATGACTATATATGTTATATGTTATATAGATGTCATATATGTTATATATATGAATGTTATATATGTTATATACCTAACAATATATATTGATCTGGAAATATATATAACAATATATTGATATATATTGATCTGGAAAGATAGCCATGAAAAATACTTCCAATAAAATGTTGTTTTATTCAACAATATTTACAAGAATATCTTTCCAGATTAATATATTTTGACAGCTAATACCATTTAATATTATAGATATAGAATAATCTTTATTGCAAATGTGTGACTTTTCCATTTTTTTGGCATGACAAAGAAAGATGAAATTAACTTGCACGTATATTTTTACCTACAAGTTTTCACTTTATTTTTCTAAGACAGTACCCTCCCACCCCCAACCACAACTTAAAAATACATAGATCAACAGATGAAAGGCTATATAAGTAAGAATATTTTTGAAGTATGTTAATATACTTTTCCCTTTTTGCATTTCCATTTCCATGTGAATCACCTGCTTTGTCACAGGCATTCATCAACCTCCAGGAGGATTAGGATTACTAGAGAAAGAATCAAATGAGAAAGATGGACTCTATTCAGCTTTCTGCAGGAAAGGGAGGATTTTGAGAGATCACAGTTAGACACAGGGTCAGGCAGCAGTCTGTGGAGGGGTGGGGTGACACTTTAGCTGGGTGAGGCCCTGACAGGACAAGCATCTGCCTCAGGCTCCCATGGCAGTCCTTACAGCCTGGGGTGAACTGAATGAGTGAACCAGCCAGCCTGGAAAGCTACAGCCCAGTTATATGTAACCACCCCACCCTGGCCAGTTGTTTTGGTGCAGAGATAACCCTGTGTCCACCGATTCTTCTGTGTTCCTAGCCCGGCCACTTGGTCAAGTGACTCATCCTCCCTGCGTTGGTTTTCCCCATCTGTAAAATGGGGGTCCTGATACTCAGTGAGATCAACTAGAGAGAATGCTCAGCTCTGTTGGCTGACTTACAAGGAATCACAGAATGGCAGCAATTCTTTTATTTAAAAAGCCAAGGAGTGTGGGAGGACAGGGTCCCTGCTTCCTGAACACCCTCCCAAGCTCTGAGGGCACTAACTGTTGGCATGTTCCCAGTTCCCAGTCCCGCTCAAGTCAGCCCTGCAATATTCCTGAGTGAACAAAATGAATGTCCAATTAAGGGTAGGGCTTCTGCGGCAGCTCTCCACACACCATAAAGCCCTCAGTGGTGTGAGGTGTGTGGTGTGTGTGCGTATCATGAACTGAGAAAAGGTGACTTGATATCTCCTAATACTAAGATTTTCTGTTTGTTTCTCCTCGTAGCTCCTGGAGATTTTGTTTTATAAATACTAGTACTACCCTATATTTATTTGTTATGTAAATTTAACAACTTACAACTTCAGTGACTTGTATTTTTTTTTTTTTAATGTTCCAGGATACATGTGCAGAATGTGCAAGTTTGTTACATAGGTATAAGTGTGCCATGGTGGTTTGCGGCACCTATCAACCCATCATCTAGGTTTTACGCCCCACATGCATTAGCTATTAGTCCTGATGCTCTCCCTCCCCTTGCACCCCCGCCCCACCGAGAGGCCCTGGTGTGTGATGTTCCCCTTCCTGTGTCCATGTGTTCTCACTGTTCAACTCCCACTTATGAGTGAGAACATGTAGCACTTGGTTTTCTGTTCCTGTGTTAGTTTGCTGAGGATGATGGTTTCCAGCTTCATCCATGTCACTTCAAAGGACATTATCTCATTCCTTTTTGTGGCTGCATAGTGTTCCATGGTGTATGTACCACATTTTCTTTATCTGGTCTATCATTGATGGGCATTTGGGTTTATTCCATGTCTTTGCTATTGTGAATAGTGCTGCAATAAACAGGTATATGTATATCTTTATAATAGACTGATTTATATTCCTTTGGGTATATACCCAGTAATGGGATCGCTGGGTCAAATTGTATTTCTGGTTCTAGATCCTTGAGGAATCACCACACTGTCGTCCACAATGGTTGAGCTAATTTATATTCCCAACAACAATGTAAAAGCGTTCCTGTTTCTCCACAGCCTCACCAGCATCTGTTGTTTCTTGACTTTTTAATAATCACCATTTTGACTGGTATGAGTTGGTATCTCATTGTGGTTTTGATTTGCATTTATCTAATGATCAGTGATGTTGAGCTTTTTTTCATGTTTCTTGGCCACATAAATATCTTCTTTTGAAAAGTGTCTGTTCATATTCCTTGCCCACTTTTTATTGTTTTACGAATACTATCTTGCACTCTTCAATACCATGCAATATCCTTTTTTGTCTCCTGCAATGCTTTAGTTTGCCTGAATTCCACCTCATCTGATATTAAGAACAGATATCTTTTTTTTTTTTTTTTTTTTTTTTTTTTTTGAGGCAGAGTCTTGCTCTGTTGCCCAGGCTGGAGTGCAGTGGCACAATTTAGGCTCACTGCAACCTCTGCCTCCCAGGTTCAGGCAATTCTCCTCCCTCAGCCTCCCAAGCAGCTGGGATTACAGGTGCATGCCACCACGCCTAGCTAATTTTTGTATTTTTAGTAGAGACAGGGTTTCACTGTGTTGGCCAGGTTGGTCTCGAACTCTTGACCTCAAGTGATCCACCTGCCTTGGTCTCCCAAAGTGCTGGGAGTGAGCCACCGCACCTGGCCTGTTTGTATTTTCTTGGTATTCCACTAGCCATCTTTTTATTTCCAATCTTTCCAAATAAAGTTGTTTTAGATGTGCCTCTTAATGTCAGCATAATTTATGCTGCATGCCCAAATATGAAATTATTTTAATTTTAAATTGTGATACAGTCCATTTATATATATTGATAAGCAAATAGAGTGGGCCATATTTTAGGTTTTCACTGTGTCATATTTTAGGTTTTCTGTTTTCATACCTTTTTTTAGAGCCATTCGCTCTGTGGTCTCATTTTCCTCATTGTCTGCATGCCTGCATCTGTGTTTATGTCTCTGACTCTTTAGTAACACTTTACTTCTTTTTATTAGGCTGGATTACGCATGATGAAGAAGGTAGCGTGTTCCTCTTTCTCTCACCAACTTTTCTCTCTTCCATCATCTTGTTTTAGTAAATGGTATTATATTTGAGTGTTTCCTTTTTGGCTGTTAAGTATTTATGCTTCCATTACTTGAGTTTTCAATCTTAAGAAGATCTTTGATGTTTGTTTCATAGAAGGCAACTGGAGCACCTACCGTACCTTTCACTCTTCCTCTTTTTCCTCCAATTTTCGTTAGATGTATTTTGCCTGTTAATTTTTTTATTTTTAGTTTTTCTATAAAGTCTTGGTCTCACTGTGTTGCCCAGGCTGGAATGCAGTGGGCATGATCATAGCTCATTGCAGCCACAAATTCCTGAGCTCAAGAGATCCTCCCACCACAGACTCCCAGCTTTTTAAAATACTCAAATTTGGCAAATCATTCCAATGTCTTCCACTGTGATGTACCGGTTCATGTTTTTCTACTTCTTCGAGATTTTATTTGGGTATGTTATATTTTGCTGGAAGGATATCAATTTCTTCTAGTTTTTCTAATTTATTGTCAATAAGCTGAATGCCATTTTAATAGGTACCACCTTCTTTACTTGAAAAGGGTTTCTACCATCAAATAATTGGTTCTTCTTTAGTGGGTTGAACTTTTTTCTTTCTGGACGGAGGTGCTATCAGTAGATAAACTAGCAAATTCCCACCCCTCTGCTAGCTAGATTTAAGAAAGAAGCCCATGTCCCCATAATGGGATTAATTGTGCTTTCCAGTTACAGAGACAAGGAGCAATTCTGGCCCACTGTAGAGGCCCTCTAAGAGTCCACAGAGCAAATATATAGATACAGATGCTTTGCAAGGATAATGAGGTTTTACCAGCTGTGCCTCTCTATTTTCACAATGGAGAATAAAGACCTACCCTGACTGTCTTTCCTGGAGCTCTCCAGTTAACTCATAGAATCAGAGGCATCTGCTACCATTCGGTATAACCCAGAACAGGAGTTGAAAGAGAAAGGCATTGGGAATGTTCATTCAGGATACTGTCTTTTCAGAATTACTTCTGGTCTCCCCACACCTTATTTTGGTTTGAGTTTTATTTATAATAATATATATATATGAATATATGTATATAACTATAGAAACAACCTAAATGTACAATAAAGGGTAATGATTACATAAAGAATAATGATCGCATAAATCAGAGTGTATACATACATATTGGGATAGTATGAATCTGTCAAAAATATAAAATATAAAAATACCTACTATACATCCTCAAATGAAAGCAGAACACCAAACTATAGTCATATTTTGTAATGTACAGTTGATTCTTGAACGACATGTATTTGGACTGTGCAGGTCCACTTATACATGCATTTTCCTTCATCTCTGCCACCCCTAAGACAACAAGACCAGCCCCTCTTCTTCCTCCTCCTCCTCCTCAGCCTACACAACATGAAAACAAGGACCAATTTTGTTGATGGTCCACTTCCACCTAAGGCATAGAAAATATATTTTATCTTCCTTATAGCTTTTTTTTTTTGAGACAGAGTCTTGCTCTATCGCCCAGGCTGGACTGCAGTGGCACGATCTCAGCTAACTGCATCCTCTGCCTCCCGAGTTCAAGCGATTCTCCTGCCTCAGCTTCCCGAGTAGCTGGGACTGCAGGCACATGTCACCACGCCCGACTAATTTTTGTATTTTTAGTAGAGACGAGGTTTCACCATGTTGGTCAGATTCACCTGCCTCGGCCTCCCAAAGTGCTGGGATTACAGGTGTAAGCCACCACACCCAGCCTTCTTTATAGTAGTTAAGTTTTTGGAGAGTCAAAATGTAGATTTCAATTGCATGGGGGAGGGGTGTTGGTGATCCCTATATCCCCATGTTGCAAGGTTGTGTGCGTTTACACAGCAAAAGAAAAATGATTAGGAAGGAAATTCATCAAAACGTTGATATTCTGCATAATTAGGTAGTTCTTACTCCTACTTTTTTTTGTATTTTCTAAACTTTCAAAGACCAACATGTACTGCTTTCAAAATCAGAAGAAATGAAATATGATTAAAGCACTAAAAAACTTTTAAGTAGTTGTAAATAACTACTTTTAATTTTGTTACAATTATCACTCTAAATAATGAATATGTTTTCTTGTTAGACATTATTTATATGAAATACATTATTAAGAGTATAGTGAAATAGTTTATTTTCATAATTAGCAAAATTAATGTTCTCTATTTCCTGCACTCACTGGAGCAATCCAGGCCATAGACCTACTGTAGAAATAAAGTGGTCAGTGGCCTCCAGTGACAACTGCAAATAGAAGTTCTGTGGGACACCTTCAAAGTTCAATAAATATTTATGTTTATGCTGCCAATCCTATGCTGTGACAGGACACCATTATAAGATTAATAAAATGGAATTTATTAAGCATACAGAAAATTGGTCTTTTAGGGTAAACGCTTTACCTAAATAGGAAATAATCATTTGTTAATGCTTGTAAAATATTTAGAAGATTTTACCTAACATATAGATCTCTAGAGAGGGGCAAAGTAAAAATTTAAACCTAATCCAGTATTGAAAAAGCATTGTAGTGCATGTATTGTAGTTCTACTAAGCCAAATCATGACCTTGTTTTGAATATATTATACATGGTACTTAACATCTTTTCCTCATCTAATAACATTGTTATCAAAAATCCAACTTGAATTGGGCCAGCATACAAAATATGGGAAAGGCGATTGAATACTAAGAATTTCCTAGCAGTGAAAAAACAAAGTAATACGTTTTTTTCTTTTCAATGAGCCCTGAATAACACTGTGAAGATGCCTATACCTAGATGAGTATGTAGTAATTGCAGAAATACAAAGTCAAATCTTTATCTATTTAAAAGAACAAAGTTTTGCCTTTCTAAGATGAAAGCTAGTTAGTAGTTTAATATTGTTCCAATCATCTTTCCCAAGTTTCACAATCTTCATTAAATTATGAACAGAAATATGCAATTGATATGGTTTGGCTCTGTGTCCCCACCCAAATCTCATCTCAATTTGTAATCTCCACGTCTCGAGGGAAAGACGTGACTGGATCATGGGGCGAGTTTCCCCCATGCTGTTCCCCTGACAGTGAGTGAGTTCTCGTGAGACCTGATGGTTTTTTTAAGTGTTTGACGCTTTCTCCTTCACACTCACTCTCCTGCTCTCTCTCTCACCTGCCTCCATGTAAGACCTGCCTGCTTCCCCTTCTGTCATGATTGTAAGTTTCCTGAGGCCTTCCCAGCCATGCGGAAGTATAAGTCAATTAAACTCCTTTTCATTATAAATCACCCAGTCTCAGGTATTTCTTTATAGCACTGTGAAAATGGACGAATATAGCAATTATCATAAAAATGATTCAATAGGGTTAAGGATGAAGGTCCGCATATAAGAATGGATGTATAAATGTATCTTTGAGACACAGATTCCAGTGTGCTTTATCCTCACACTGTAACCCAAAAACATCCCAATATCTGTGGTCACTGTATACTGTCAATGCTTAAGAAAACAGGAAGGAGCTGGATGGATGTGTTTTAAGAACTGTAAACGACATGAAACACCTTTCATTTGATGACGTATAATAGGTATTTTCATGTTTTATATTTTTGACAGCTTCATACTATCCCAATATGTATGTATACAGTATGATTTATGCAATCATTACCCTTTATGTAATCATTACCCTTTATTGTACATTTAGATTGTTTCTATAGGCAGGTTTTAATGGTTTAGAAAAGTCAGTTTTACCAGAGAGGAATGTATGGAAGAGAAACTGGGAATTTAGAAATACACATAAGACATACTTACATCATTTATTTTCTCATTTCTTTTCTCCTTTCTAACATCAAAGGAAATATGACCGGGTAACATTTATAGGAAACCCAAAATATTTTCTGTCTCACCTTGGAAGACCGGAAGGTAAATGCTGTTGATTTTACATCAGCTTTCTCTTTGTCCATGAGTAGAAGGTTTTTGTCTTCCATGAGACTCAAGTATTTTCCTGTTGTGACATGGCGTAGTCGGAATGGCTGTCCCCATCTTATGTGGCTTCCACTCCACCTAATGAAAACAGTTAGGACTTGATCCAATAGCACCCACAATCACAGAAGGAGTAGCTATTAAAACATATGTCGGACAATGAACAGTCATATATATTGTCTTAATGTTCTCAAAAAACTTAGGATATTAGTGATATTAATTTCATTTCACAAATAACAAAATGGCTATTCAGAATGATAAGTAATACACAAAGTCGCAAAGCTTATAGTAAGAAGAAGTTAAATGTAACTCAAGGTGTTCTGACTTAAATGCCGTACCATCCACACAGCGCCCTATTCTATGCAAAGATAACAAAGAACTTGTGCTCCAAGTCACCCTCTAATACAGATTAGTCAAGCTCTAATGCAAATAATGCAGGAAGTATAACTCCAAGTAATATTTTAGCATTTACTAGTTAAAAACTGTTGCTGTATTTGCACAGACTTGAAAAACAGTAGTATTGTGGTCAACGTCTAAGTATGATTAATTGGAACTCATATATATAAACTGAAGTCTATAGTTAGACTATATTTACCTGACAAAAGAAATGTATTCTTATACTTTACATTTTAATATTGTGGAACAATTATATTATTAGAACGCGATGAACAAAAAAGATAAGCCAAGAAAATGAAAATTCTAAAAAAGTCAGGAAAAAATGTAATAAACAGAAAATATAGAATGTTTCAGTAAAATGATAAGTTATGATCATTAAAAATTTGCTTTGAAGGATACTGAATGTTGTTAATGCGCAGAAATGATAAACGTTTGAGATGATGGATATGCTAATTGATCTGATCACTATACATTACCTGTATCAAAACATCACTATGTACCCCATAAGTATGTACGATTATCACTTGTATATTAAAAATAAATAAATGACTTTCAGGTAGGATAAAATAGAAAAATCAAAATACAAGCTGTTCTTGCTTTGCACATTACCTTGTTAACTGAAGGTTGTGTATTTAGGAGCTTTAACCATGCTAAGGTGCAGAGTGATGGCACAGTTCTATCGTGCATGACTTTCCCTTAACACCGTACCATGCAAAGTGAGGACAGGCCATATATATCATTGATAAGACACAAGCTTAAGATCAAAGCACGCAAGAAAACTAAAAACGAATGAGTAGAAAAGATTCAACAAGCAAATAAACCTCAAAAGGAAATGACAAATTTGATATTAGATAATTCCAATTCAAGGCCAAAAAGCACAAAAGGTATACAGCCAGATATGTTATGAAGAAAAAGTGTATACTCTAAAAATAATGAATGTTGTAAAGCTTCATATGTCAACAACAAGCAGAAAATGAAACATAAGGATAATTTTTTAAAAGACAGTTTACACTGGATGATTTTGTCAAAATACAATGAGTCAAAGAAAAAGTAAATATATGGAGATTTTCAATATAATCTTATTATTTAATAAACTTGGGTTCATACAGACTTATTAAAAATGTTTGTGTTCTACAAATTGAGAGTACTTGGTTCAAAGCTAGCAATCTTTTAGTAAATTATAAATCAATTTAATGTTGTTTTCCTAACCTGGATTTTTGACTTGAGATGTTAGCATAGAAAATTAGCAGTAGAATGTTATAACAAGTTCATTTTCACATGAATTTGTTTATAAAGACAATTAATTTGGGAAGCCCCCCAATTAAGTTAATAACCGTATACTAATAAAACCAGATAACACGGTATTGTCTTAAGATGAAATTAAAGTTTGTTACCAATAATAGCACATTAAAGTATTTCTATTTTGGAAATAAACAAGCTTTTTAAAATCCTCCTCTTATAAAATTAAGTGTATTGTTTGCAAATACTATGAAAACCACAATTATCATTATTATTATTATTACTATTATTTTTATTTTGAGACGGAGTCTCGCTCTGTCACCCAGGCTGGAGTACAGTGGCGCGATCTTGGCTCACTGTAAACTCCGCCTCCCGGGTTCAAGCGATTCTCTAGCCCCAGCCTCCCGAGTAGCCAGGACTATAGGCGCCAGCCACCGCGCCCGGCTAACTTTTGTATTTTCAGTAGAGACGGGGTTTCATCATGTTAGCCAGGATGGTCTCGATCTCCTGACCTTGTGATCTGCCCGCCTCAGCCTCCCAAAGTGATGGGATTACAGGCGTGAGCCACCCTGTGCCCGGTCACAATTATGTTTAATATTTGTTTCCATTATTTGAAAAACAATGAAATATTTGGAAATATGTTTAATATTTGTTTCCATTATTTGGAAAAACAATGAAATATTTGTAAATAATGAATCACTTCTGAATAACAATTCATCTTAATCATCATGGAACACACCTTCATTTTCAAAACAGCACAAAATTTTAACCAGATATATACTATTTGCTAGCGTATCTGGAAGAT
Organism: Homo sapiens; assembly: GCF_000001405.40. Classification (NCBI taxonomy): domain Eukaryota; kingdom Metazoa; phylum Chordata; class Mammalia; order Primates; family Hominidae; genus Homo; species Homo sapiens. The sequence goes on along the minus strand of NC_000001.11, from coordinate 237,420,732 downwards.
GTTCTGGGCTCAGTTCTATTCAATAGAACTCATATGTACCAGTGCTCCTTTGAAGTCTCTAAGAGGATTCTGGTAGAAATGGAATGAATGTGGCCAGTTTTTGGCAAAACCACTGCATAGTCTAAGTCTAAGCACATTTGCTTTCATTTCCAGCCACTCAAACTAGCCTGGTCTCACATGCCCAGACCCCCACCTCCTCCCAAATGAGAGGGCAAGGCAAGAAAATCATATGTAGTAAAAACTAAAATTGGCAATAGTAATGGAGTTTTATAAAGCAATTTCCTATGGTAACATCAAAAAACTGTGCCCTACGTATTATCGATATTTACTCAAAATTACCTCAAAGGGAATTGGGGAATAGTGAGTACTTCTTTATGATATGTCACCCTTTAATTTTGTTTATTTGCAACATAAAAAATAGAACTTGAACTCTATGTAATTCATAGTTTTTATTTCCATGAGTATTCCTATTACAGGAACTAACACATATCTCACTTACAATATCCCTATAATTTTGCCTGGAGTAAAATATAGGAGAGCATTTTCTATTCAATTTAACTCCCTACATTAAAACCATTTATTAAAAAGGCCATGATACTGAAAAACTTTTGACAATAGTTTCATGTGTAAGAGTATGCAGTATAAAATATATAATGAATGGGCCACATCAACTACAACAAATATATAGTATAGGATCTCACTGGAGAAAAGAGAAGACCGAGTATCCCAAATATTGAATATAAACATTGGCATTAGGCAATATAGTTCTATCACAAACAAAAGCAGGATCTTCACTATAAATTGCTAAATATAATGCAAAATTAGTAATTATGTGGCCATTGCATATAAGACATGTAAACTTCCTAGAATGAAAGGGATTTAATTAAAAAAATAAAAGCTCCTAAACTGAATGTAGCTTAATTTACATATCTACAATAAAGCCAAAGTAGTTTAAAGAGTCAGTATAATCTGAAAAACTTCTTAAAATAATGATATTCCGTACATATGAATCTCCTACTTTCCTACTGCTAGACAGGAAGGTGAAATTTAATCAAGGGTCAGAGAGAAGAACAAAACATCTCTCTTTAAGCTGCTAAATGGTTGAAAAACTACCTGCTCTGCCTTCTCTGTGGTATTCCCCTCAGTGACATCTGGACTATGAGAAGCAAGTAGCATTCCCTTTCCCCAGTGGCTGACCATAAGATCATCTCCTTTCTATATATTGATTATCTGTAATCAAAGTGAAAATAAACTCCAAACTTCTATTTCAAAATACAAACATAAGCAACAGTAGAGAGACAGGATCAAGACTACTTAATTCAGAAGTTTGAAGAATAATCTAGATTTATGTAGTCACAGCTCATCAATAGTATCGATAACAATAAAAACAAAGTCCTATCAGGTTTTCAGAAGCTTTCATGTTTTTTTTTTAACCAAAAATAAGACAGATGTAGGGTCTCTCTCTACAAAAAAGATAAATATTTCTTTAAGCACTCAATCATGAAGTATAGGTATGTCTCTAAATTTTGAAAACACATATTCAATCTGTTTTACAAGGTCAATACAACCTCTCGAAACTGCACTTATAGTGACAATTTAATTACATATATAATTAGTAATTATGTATACAATTAATTTGTATAAACACTTCTTTACTCTTTCATTTTTATAATACACAATGTAAAAAAATATGAGTAATACTTAAAATCCCTTTCCTTAAATTATCTGAATAATCACAAAATATATAAAAGCTATGAGTTTTCCTTTGTTTGCCTTAGAAGTCTGTCTCTTCTTTTTCCATCTCATTATGATATGCATTTCCAATAAAAATTTTCTTTTAAGTTTGGTAGTTACCAAAAGTTTTAATATTTAGGTAGATTTGATCAATTGTGCATTTATATCAAAGACATTTAATGTTTTCAATTAGTTATTAATGACAATATAGAAGAGCTTTTTAAAGTTACAGACTAACATAAGAAATATAAGAAATAAATTTATATAAATATTTTTGTTGCAGAGGAGTAGGATGTAGTGAAAAGGAAAGACTGAATAATATATATTTTTATTGTTAAAGAAGACCATTTTCAATAAACAAAGGTATTAAACCACAGCATTACTTACAGTCAATTGGATACTTTGAAAAGGGTGATGTAACCATTTTATTTTAAAGTATCACTATTTAAAATACACTGGAAGTTATATTCTATGCATCTAAACTGATAATGAAAGGATTTCTATGTCAACCTCACAGTGTTCAAGAATGGACAAAGTTTTTCAAAATCATTGCATGGGACACAGGAGCAGAAACGACTGAAGGCCTCTAAACTATTCTCATCACCATTAGACAGGCAATAATCTCAAAATAAAATGTCTATAAAGGTAGTTATACTAGGCCGAGCGTGGTGGCTCACACCTGTGATCCCAGCACTTTGGGAGGCCGAGGCTGGTGGATCAGGAGGTCAGGAGATCGAGACCATCCTGGCTAACACGGTTAAACCCTGTCTCTACTAAAAATACAACAAATTAGCTGGGCGTGGTGGCAGGTGCCTGTAGTCCCAGCTACTCGGGAGGCTGAGGCAGGAGAATGGTGTGAACCCGGGAGGTGGAGCTTGCAGTGAACCGAGATCGCGCCACTGCACTCCAGCCTGAGTGACAGAGCAAGACTCCATCTCAAAATAAATAAATAAATTAATTAATTAAATATAGTTATACTAGAGTAAGATAGCCCTCATTCCCACCCATAGAGTCTGTTATCCTAAATCAATAATGTCTTTAAAGCCCAATACAAATCAATTATCATCCTAAATCAATAAAGTCTTTAAAACCCAATATACTAGGAAGTAAACACATTGAAAATTTACTGCTTTTAGGCAAAGGACTAAAGCTTCGAATTATTTTTAAAAATTTTAATTCTACTTAAAATAGTTCAAAATGACACCTTTATCATCATATTGTATTCATTTACAGGAACTAAAAGGAAATATTCAGACAGTTAAGTCATCAGAAAAAAATACTTTATACATTTATGTTTCATAAATATTAATATATAAAAACTCTCATTACTATAATGAATACACAGTGACTTTTATTGCAATGCAGATTTGTACTTAGCTATCAAGTGATTTTTAAGTAAATATAGTGACTTCCAGTAATGACTCTGTCCTACGCTCATGTTCAAGTTTCCTGTTTTAAATGTACTTTTAGAAGGTTAAATCCACAGTCTGTCAGATCTGAGATGTGCGACAGGCTTGCAAAGAACTTGTCGTGTCTCCAAATCTTACATCACTCTGTCCTAGTAGCCATTTCTGCCAAGAGATGCATGGTCTGGGATGAGATGATGTTAGAAAAACAAATGAGGCTAAAGACAAAAGCAGACTGTACAAAATTATTGCTTATTTCTCAGGTTTGCTAGCTGGTGAACTGAGGCTAAGGAATGATAAAGGTAGGTGGAAGGAAATAGACAAAAGAGAAACTGTCCACCACTTTCTCGGTGTTTCCTTTGTTCGCTTGCTTGCTGTAGTTTTCAGCATCACAGGCTGACACAGAAGCACAACGCTGAGCTATTTGGTACACTTGGTGCATTAGGCTGTGTTTAGAAGTTCTACTTACGCAACTCTTAGCGTCTCTAGTCTCCAAAGGGAACGTGCATGAACAGACACAGCGCCACCTTCATAATGAACAGTTCTGTTTCAACAAACAAACAAAAGCCCAAATGTGAGTTAAACATGTTTCATTCTTTGGACTCTAATTTTTTGAAGCTAATTAGGAGAGAAAAGCAAATGGCCTGTGAGTAAACAGTTAAAGTTATACTTTTTTGGCAGGAGACAGTATAGCTGGAAATAAAAATAACCAAAATAACAGTAACAGTGATCAACCTAAGTTTTCCCTGAATAAACAATGATTTAAACATATTCTCTCTTGCCATTTTCTCCCTCTAATCTCATTCATTCTCTCTCTCTCTCTCTCTCTGTGTGTGTGTGTGTTTCTTCCCATCCCTCCCTCCCAGTGAATAGATTTCACCTTACTCATCTAACTTAGGTCCATGAAAGTACTCTGTGATAAGTTTAGGTATAGTTTAATATATCATTATTTCAACATATGTATATAAATATTTGCACTTCCAAATTCTGTTTTAGATTATTTAAAGCATTTTAAAGAAATGTAAGAACACAATTCTTAATATTTTAACACAGCAATCTGCAATTTATATCAAAATATGAATATCCAAAAAGTCACAAAAAAGGAATTTCTTTGGATGCATATCACATGCACCCAAATTCCAAAACCCTCAAAATAATGTGTTAATATGCCATACATAATGCTAAGTAATTGCTGTAAGTATCCAAATTCATGACTGCACCAACGCCTTGAGATTATTTTGGAAACCAAAGCTGATGCACATGCCCTCTTTCTTTCCTGAGTGTTAACTGTCTTCCTCTCTATAGGGTCTGTCTTATGTAAACACATGAAAGCCTATCCTGCCTCACAGACAGCAGTAATACCATGTCTACTCCTGTCAGTTTCCAGTGGGCTCCAATCTTGCTTCCAGACCCATTTCTCCACTGAAACAGACTTTGCTAAAGTCATCAAGTGACCTTCATGTTACCAAATCCAATAGACTTACTTTCTTTTTAACACTGTGGAAACTCCTATTGTCTTGAAAGTTTTTCTAACACCATTCTCACCTGCCGTTCCCTACCTGTTTAGATAATCCTTCTCATTCTATCTTTATTGTGGAATGTTTCAAATATACGTAAAGAGAATATTAAAATAAATCCGCATACACCTAGCAGAAGACATCAACAATGATCAACATAGGGACAACCGCGTTTTACCTGTAACCTCTACTTACCCCTCCACATGCAACTCTGAAAATAATTATTTGATATTATGAAATATCTAGTCTGTGTTTGAACTTCCCAAATTGCCTCACAGATGTTTTTAATTTTCCCCTGTTGCTTTTTCAAATCCAGTTCCAAAAGAGATACACTTATCAGTTAGGGGTCTTAAGTTTCTTTTATTCTAGAATAGTCCCCATTCCTCTCTTGTCTTCCCTTCTTGCCATTTATTTGGTGATAATCAGTCTGTACCATATGTCCTGGAGGACTTTCTACATTCTAGATTTGGCCAACAGCCTTCCTATGGTGTTTTTTAACACATACCTCTAAATTGGTAGTGAGATCTAGAAATCTAGAAGCTTGTCCAAGTTTGAATTTTTGGCAAGAACATTTCACAAATTGGTGTTTCTACTTCCCATTATAACACAACAGGGGTACATAATTGTCTATTTCTTTAGATAAAATTTAATCAGTTAGTTTGGGATCACCCTAATCCATCCATTAGGACCTAAGAGTTTTAGGTAGTAAGTTGGTGCAAAAGTTATTGCAGTTTTTGCCATCAATAACCAGTGTCCACAGCAGTGATTTTCAACTGTCGCTGCATAAAGTACTCACATGGATAGTTTTTAGAAATCCTTATGTGCACCCTCACCAATGACATTAAACAGATCTGGAGTCAGGACTTTAAAAAACTCTCTCGCTGGTTGCAATGGGAAGCCAAGCCTTGGAAAGTACAGTCTAAGTAAGTTACTCCACAGCAGCACTGTTGATGTTTGGGGCTGCGTGATTCTCTTTTGGGCTGTCCTGTGCATGGCAGGATGTTTACAACCCTGCCCTCTACCAACTAAATGCCACCAGTAGCCTCCCACCAGCTGTGACAACCAAAAGAGTTCTAAGAGTTCTCCAACATTGTCAGATGTCCCTTTGGGGACAAAATCACCCTCAGTGTAGAGCCACTGACATAGGTAAGCGGCTCTCAAGTCTTCGGTGAGGTAGAATCCTCTCCCTTTGAGGGTTTGTTAAGACCCAGATTGCTTATCTCACTTAACATACGTCCTCTAGGCTCAACCATGTTGCTAAGAATGACAGAATGTCATTTAAAAATTACAAGTAGATTGGAGAGATAGGTTCTAGTATTTGATAGCACTATAGCATGACCATAGTTAACAACTTAGCATATATTTTCAAATAGCTAGAAGAGAGGATTTTGAATGTTCCCAACATAAAGAAATTATAAATGTTTGCATTGATATACATGCCAACGGCTGATTTGATCATTCTATACTGTGTGTATGTATTGAAATATCATATTGTACCCCATAAATATGTACAATTATGTGCCAATTAAAAATAATTTTGTGCCATATATCGTATTCTACCCCATAATATGTACAATTATGTGCTAATTAAAATAATTTTTTAAAAAGAGATTGCTGGACCCATCCCCAGAGTTTCTAAGTGACCACATCTTAGGGTGAGGCCCAAGAATCTGCAGTTCCAACAAATTCCCAGGTGATGTTGATGGTCCATATTTTGAGAACCACTTGACTAGACCCATTATTTCATTTTGGCAACATACTTAACCTTGGTTGTATATTAGAATCACCTGGAAAGCTTTAAAAAGTCCAATGTACAGATAACACTCAGACTGATTAAGTAAGACTGAATGACAAAATATAGACATTGTGCACGTCTGTGTGTGTATACACACATATATAAATAGACACACTCACACAAAGACACAGCTTTTTAAATACATTTGACCTTTAATAAGGGTCTTTTACTTGACCACAAAGAAAATGTTATCAGATTTTTAAAGACTTTTACTCATCGTATTTTCTGATCATAAACAAAAAAATTAGAAACAAATACTGAAAAGAAAAGAAATTGACAACTTGGAAAATGAAGAAACTTCTAAATAATTCATGGGTCAAAGAGGGAAACAAAATTATACTCTATCTAGAATATAATGAAGAGAAAAGCACTTCTTAACAAGTCTATGATTCACAGGTAAACTTTGAACACTTTTAATCTGCAATCCTTTAATTATTAAATAAAACATGTAAATAAAGAATTGCCTGAAGACATATAGAGAACAAAATAAACCAACAGAAAATAGAGGAAGAAACTCAATGATATACTGTTCAATAAGATGCAAGAGTGTAAATTATGTACATTTTCTGTGCAAGTTATCACTAAAAATCTATCATATATGTACATATGTGAACATATATCTGTATGAGCATGGAGAAAGTTGTCAAATAATGAACATCAAACTATTAGCATTAATTACGTTAGAGGAACAATTACATAAGGTAATAAGGTATACAGAAATTAAGTTCAAAACATTTTTAAAAGGTCTCTAAGATACAAATAGCATGAATAATATATCTTTGTAAAGTTATATGGATTTATACAATAAAGTGAAGAATTATCACGCAAATGGTTTACTTTGACAACTTTACCTTTTGAATTTAACAATGATCTTTTATAAAAATCTAATGGTATTTTTATTAAAATTTTACATGACAAATATAAAGTCAAAAGGAAAGTTGAATCCTCCTTCCTACCTGAAATATTTTTAGCTCTATCTTGAAGGTTCTTGTGCCCTGAATTGTTCCTCTTCATATTTTTTTAAAAGTTTCATTGGCAGGTATAGAGAATCTGATGACTTCTTTTGATTATTTATTGCCAGGCGGGGAATCTTTGCTATTACATAGTTCCCTACGTAAATTACACGGCATGTGCAGAGCGTCAATGGTTGTCTAATCAAGTCTTCATGGGCTGTTTCAGACTGAAAATTGGCACCACAATATCAAGATCTTAAATAAATAGGAATTTCAGTCCTTCATAAAGGACTTTAAGGACACTCAAACTTATTTAGAAATCAGCCCACCTAGAGGAATACACCTGCTCCATTAAGGGATTGTCCCTTTTCCCTGCAATGCATTTCAAGTATCAAATCAGAGTCTAGGAGGACAATTGTTCTAAAGACCAACAAGTTTGCCAAATGGTATTACCAACTTTGAACTCATACAAATAAACGATTATACTCAGAGCAAATGCCCTTTCCAGCTGGATGACTGAAAAGGGAGAAAGATTCTCTAAGAAATTACACAGACTGATAGCAACAGCACCTTTTGAGGTAATCATCACAAGGGATTTTAATGCAAATGGCAGGAAGGATGCCAGAATTCAGGAAGGTCGACGGATATGAAAATACAAAAGAGCTCATGCAGCTCTTTGTTAACTGGAGACTATTTTTGCAATGTACTAAAACAGTGTTACAGCTACTGAGAAAAAGAGTATGTGCTAAAAGAACTGGACATTGTTATTATTTTGAACAGAATTTTGTTTAAAAACTTTAATCTCATAAACCAGACAAAGTCAAAGTCACTGTAATTTCACTGAATAGGAATGTTAAAAATATGCACATATAATAACCAGCAGTATGAGCTTGTTCAACAGTACTTTGAAAAATTCCAGACTTAAGGCTGTAAGTTATGCCTACATAACACATTATCCCACAATATAATACATTTCATTTAGGAACTCATATTTCAGGCTGATCGCATAAAACTGCCTGAAGAGGCCCTTTAAGGTTATTCTAAGTACAAATTCTTCCCAGTAAACCATCAATTCCGCTGCTCATAAGTATTATAATATTGTCCACTGATATAAAATTAGTTATTTTTGTATTTTTGGCTATAAAACACAATTTGAGTCTTATCTCAGTTGTCAAGCCACTTGTTTCTCGGTAAAAAGCAGGCACTTTGACAGCTAGGATAGCTCATCTTTAGAATCTAAGGCCCAGAAAAGACTAGCATTAGCATATTAATAAAAGCACAAATCCTTACGAGTTCTTCATAGCTTGACAGTTGGGCATATATTTACAATAAAATTTTATAGGGCACACAATTCTAATTAGTGGACTTTAGTACAGAATCATAAAATACATTATTAATGAAAGATTGCACATTGTAAGCGACACCTCCAACCTGCAAGGAAACCACTTCCTTTCATTGTGAGTGCTGCCACAGGGCTCTGTCAACCAATGACATCACAGTTACTCTCTTGTTTGTTCTGCAGGGCAACTAAAAGTTGATGACTCACTTTCACATTTGATTGTTATTAACTTTCTTAAGATGTCACTTCTTTGTGTGAACTTGTGCAAGCTGTTGACCTCTCTGTCTCATTTTCTTCATATGTAAAATGGGAATAATTTTTACTGGGTTACTGTGAAGAATGAATGAGTAATATAACCCACGTAGACCACTTGGAAAAGTCCTTGCACAACAAATGTCAGCTCTGAGGATGCAGATGGTGATGGTGATGATCATGACCATGATTGTGGTCATAATTTATATTCAATCCTTCCATATAGGGAGTTAAGATTCAATAATATTTTGCCTGAATTGAATGGATTGTTGCTAAATCAATCATATTATACACTTGTTGATATTCAAAGTCCCTAAATTATAAAATCGCTCGGGACAACGTAACTAGGAAATGAAGCCTACCTATTAATAGCTTCATCATAAATCAGTCACTTCAGTGCTAGCCTCCTCCTGCAATTCAATGGCAGGATCTCAGCATTCTTTTTTTAAAAAAATAATAAACACATTATTTTATACTGTTTCTATGGGTCAGGAATACAGTGTATCTTAACTAGGTGCTTCTTGCTTGGTGTCTGCCTTGGAGTCTCTTGTGAGGTTGCAGTCAAGTTGTTAGCTAGGGCTGTAGTCACTGGAGGTGACCTCTAGCTACCACCATTCTACTCTCTCCTTCCATGAATTTGAATTCCACACATGAGTAAAATCATGCAGTATTTGTCTTTCTGTGCCTGGCTTATTTCACTTAGCATAATGTCTTCCAGGTTCATCCATGTTGTTGCAAATGACAGGATTGCCTTCTTTTTAAAGGTTGTATAATATTCTATTGTGTATGCATCGCAATACATTTGTAAAATGACACTATAAAAAATTCAAGCTCTGAAAAGAATGCATACATTATATAGATTAAAAGAATACTTCTTTTCCTACCTTCTCTCTTATTTAAATCCTCTTCTGAAGTCACCTGCTTTGTCACCCTTACTGTAGCTCCAGCACAGGGATCCACTGTCTCGAGAACTGTTGGACTTGACACCCACCACTATGACTTTCATTGCCACCATGAAAGGGTGGTTTAAAACAGGAGCAGACCTACTTTTTCTGTAAAGGGCCAGTTAGTAAATATTTTCGGTTTTGCGAGCCATATGGTCTCTGTCTCATTATTTAATTCTGTTATTATCATACAAAAGCAAACATAGACAATATGTTTTTAAAAATAGGATGGCTGTGTAACAATAAAATTTTATTTGCAAAAAAAGGCAGTGGGCTGGATTTGACCTACTGCCTTGATTGGTTGACCTTAGATCTAGAATATTCTACCCATATTATTGGTCATTTTAATCTCAGAGAAAGCTAGCTGGATAAAATCCAGGGTCTAGGGTCTTTCATAAATTGAAGGAAATGTCTTACCTTATCTATCTTGAATAACATTTCTAAATCTAGAATTCATATCTACATTGTGACAGATCTTTTTTGCCCTTAAGAGAAATATAGACAAATTCACAGCGCTTCAGAGCACTTGGCTTATCCAAAAAAGCCACATGAAAGAACAGCTGGGGCATTTTTCAATCTACTTTTGTTTCTTCAACATAACAAAGCCCTGACAAGGTTAGTGCAGTAATGCTGAATAGCTTACATAGTCTATTATTACTACAGTATCACGGACACTTTGAGAGGGGCTCTAAGTGAACTTTATTTTTCTCTTTTTTACATTTACCATGACTTTAGAGCAATGGGGAAATGATACAGAACTATTCAGAGTCCTATTTTCTGAATACATAACATTCTGGTTTCATTTTTTGTCAAGAAAAAGGGTAGAGTATATAACAAATACTGAACACCAGAAGAGGTAAATAATAATAAAAGACAATTCAATCAGTCACATCAAATTTTGATCATGAATCCATTACATATGTTAAAAGTAGAGAAAACAGTTTACCAGGCTCTGAAGATTTCCTTGCCAATTCATATTATAATTACATGTTTCTGTAGAATATAATAGGGACAAAGAAGAAGCCATATCAATGTATTTTAGTTACTGCAATGCAGGGAAGTAATAAAATACTACTTCATTTATCCAAACTCAACTTTCAATGAATATACCATAGAATTTCTGTGATATACCACAGAATTCAATTCTCCCTTCAAAAATCAGTAGTTATTTCATAATCTAAACAAAATATATTATAAATGTCATAACAGGTATTTCTAGAAATCACTGTTTTTTATTTCAAAAGGAATGTGCTGTTTGAATACAAGTATGATAGCAAAAATGAATATTTTCTCCTTTTGTATACATAAGGTAATTAAGATATCACTGAACCATAGTATAATCCATCATATCAACATGCTAAAGAAAAAAATCATTGATCATATCAATAAATGAAGAAAAAGTATTTGACAAAATCCAGTGTCTATTAATAATACAAATTCTCAGCCAATGAGGAATAGAAGGGAACTTCCTCAAGTTGATAAAGAACATCTACAAAAAATGCCTACAGCCAACACCATACTCAATCATAAGAAACTTGTTGCTTCTATATCAGGACCAAATCAAGAATGTTCTCTTCACCACTACTACTCAAGACTGTAACAGAAGTTCTAGATAATGCAATAACATAAGAAAAGGAAATTAAATGTATACAGACTGAGAAGGAAGAAATAAAACTTTTTCTTCATAGATGACATGATTATTTACCCCAATCTCAAAGAATCAAGAATAACAACAAAAATCTCCTGAAACTAATAGACAATTATAGGAAAGTTTCAGGACATTAATACACAAAAATCAATTTCTTCTATACCAGCAATGAACAACACGTATTTAAAGTAAAAATATTATTTATCTTAATACCAAAAAATTAAATGCTGAAATACAAATCTAACAAAATATGTACAAAATCTAAATAAAGACAACTACAAAATTCTGATTTAAAAAGTCAAACAAAATCTAAATAAATTGAGAGCTATTCCATGTTCATGGATAGGAAGACTCAATATTTCAAGACATCAGTTCTTCCCAATTTGATCTATAGTTTCAAAGCAATCACAGTCAAAATCCCAGCAAGTTATTTTGTAGATATTAACAAACTGATTCTAAAGTTTATATGAGAAGTGAAAGACATAGAAGAGCCAACACAATATTGAAGGAGAAGAACGAAGTTGGGAGACTGACACTATCTGATTTCAGGACTTACTATAAAGCTACAGTATTCAACACAGTGTGGTATTGGTGAAAGAACAGACAAACAGGTCAGTGGAACAGAATAGAGAGCCTAGAAATAGACCCACACAAATATAGCACATTGATCTCTAACAAAGAATCAGTAAGTCAATGGACATTCTCCCCAAATAGTACTGAAAAGACTGGATATCCATTTATATATATATATAAAGAATCTAGACACAGACCACGCCCTTCATAAAAATTAACTCAAAATGGATCACAGACCTAATACAATGGAGAAAATATAGTCTTTTCAACAAACAGTGCTGGAACAACTTTATACACATGTGTAGAAAAACTAATCTAGAACACACCTGACACCTTCCACTAAATTTAGGTCAAAATGAACCATAGGCCTAAATGTAACACAGAGAACTATAAAACTGCTGGAAAATACCATAAGAGAAAATCTAGATGTTCTTGCATTTGACAATGATGTTTTAGATATCAAGAGCACAATTCATGAAATAAAAAATTGGTAAGTTGGGCTTCATTAAAATTAAAAACCTCTGATCTGCAAGAAAACACTATTAAGAGAATAAAAAGACAAGCCAGAGACTGAAAGACAATATTTGCAATCGCATATCTGGGAAAGGACTGGCATCCGAAATATGTAAAGAACTCTTAAAATTCAACAACAATTTGGCCAGGCGCAGTGGCTCACGCCTGTAATCCCAGCACTTTGGGAGGCCGAGGCAGGTGGATCACGAGGTCAGGAGATCAAGACCATCCTGGCTAACACGGTGAAACCCCATCTCTACTAAAAACACAAAAAATTAGCCGGGCATGGTGGTGGGCACCTGTAGTCATAGCTACTCTGGAGGCTGAGGCAGGAGAATGGCGTGAACCCAGGAGATTGAGCTTCCAGTAAGCCGAGATCATGCCACTGCACTCCAGCCTGAGCAACAGAGCCAGACTCCGTCTCAATTTAAAAAAAAAAAAAAAAAAAACAACCACAATTTAAAAATCACCAGAAGATCTAAGACATCTCATCAAAGATATACAGATGACAAATAAGCATATAAAAAGATGCTCAATGTCATATGTCAACATTTGCAACTTGAGGTATCACTATTCATATGTTACAATGGCCAAAACCTGGAATACTGCAACATTAAATGCTGGAGAGGATTCCCATTCATTGCTGGTGAGAATACAAAATGATACAGCCACTTTGGAAGACAGTTTTGCAGTTTCTTAAAAAGCTAAACATACTCTTACCATAGGATTCACCAATTGTGCTTCTTGATATTTACCCAAATAAATTAGGTCTATACAAAACTTGCATGTAAATATTAATAGTAGCTTTTAATTACCACAACTTGGAAGCAGCCAAAATGTGAATAAACTGTAACACATCCATTGGAATGTTTTTCAGTGATGTAAAGAAATCAGCTATCAAGTCATGAAAAGATATAGAGGGGCCATATATGCAGATTGCTAAGTGAAAGAAGCCAGTTTGGAATCATAACTATATGATTCCAACTATTTAACATTCTGAGTAAAGCAGAACTATGGAGACAGTAAAATAAATATTTTTTCAGGAGTTCAGGGGAGGGAAGAAGGAATAAATGGGGAACAGGGAATTTTGAGAGCAGTGAAATTATTGTGTGTGATACTGCAATTGTGGATACATGTTATTAGTCAAAGTCTATAGAATGTACAACACTGAGTAAGCCTAATTTAGAGAATTAAGAATAATGTGTCCGTATTACTTTATCATTTATAACAAGAGTACCATACTAATACAAGATGTTAATAACAAGAAAACTGGTGAGGCAGAATTCTCTGTGCTTTCTGCTCAATTTTCCTGTAAACCTAAAAGTGTATAATAAAGTCTATTAATTTTTTAAAAATCATTAGGTATTCTAGCTCAACAAATACTAATATAGTAATACAAATATATTAGGAATATATTACAGGGAAAAAAGGAGGTAGTTTTTAGGGCATTTTTTCTCCAGAATATACAAAATAACACCAGGCTATCTCAAATAAACTTGGATTATTCTCTTTAAAAGAGAAGGATGGAGAGCTACAAATGTGTATGTGTAAATGTTGCAAAAGTAAATAATATGAAGAACTATTATCTTTCTATTCTTTCGTAAAAACAACAGTATATAGAAATATAATTGTATTTAGCCAAAAACAAACACTAATTGTTTACCATTCATATTCTAGACACATAGGTATATATTTTAGGAAAAAGAAATATAAAACACCAAAGTTCCTGTATCCACGAATGTACAGTTTGACATGGTAAGAAAGACACGAACACCAAAAACTAGCCTAGGTAGTAGTATGGGGAAACTACGTATAAAGAGATGGGAGAGGGGAGGGGAGGGGAGGGGAAGGGAGGGGAGGGAAGGGAAGGGGAGGGGAGGGGAGGGAAGGGAAGGGAAGGGAAGGGGAGGGGAGGGGATGAAAGGACATAAATTGTCAAGAAGAGCTCTGCAAAGTTTTCATGAGGGAGATATTTGGGTTCACTCCTGGAGCTGAGTAAGAATTCAGCATGCAAAGAAAAGAATGAGGATATGAGGAATGAGAGCGTGGCAGTGAGAGTAGAAAGGCTGCAGAATCATGAAGTAGAATGCTGCCATATTCAAAGTGCAAGAATACCTCAGTGGTTGATGGTGGGATGAAGAGATAAAGTTAAGAAAGTTTTTTCACCTACTTTTCTGAATGGTGGTCACAAATCCACAAGGATAAAAAGGAGTTAAAGATAAAGACTTTGGATATTAATCTGAAAGCAACAGCACAACAGAACCCTCAAATCACAGTAAACAGGAAGGTGCACCCTTAAAATTGACATCAGCAAGAGAAACAAGTCTAATAGAGAAAAAATTTAGCAATAAAATCAATAGGACCTAAAATCCTTCTTTCTCTTGTTTCATAAAAGGTAAAAGAAAAGTCAAGGCAAAGTTTTGAGCATAGTAGACTGGTATACATAACCAAGTTATGGGCTGTAAGAAGGAAAACATCTCTGATGGAATTAAATTAAGGTTGATATATTTGAATTGCTGTCTCAAGTGAAATTCACGCAGACATACGCAATAAGAACTTGAACATTTAGGATAGAAGTTCAGGAGAATGAGTCTGTGGATTAGACTTGACAGTAATTCACAAAGTTCATCGTTGAGGCTATAAGAAAGAAAAGAATGAAAACATTTTGTTTCAAGGGCATTCCATTTGTGGATATATTTGAGGGGAGAACTGCATTTGACATAGTTGATCACCCCACTGCCCTTGGCAATCTTATGCTTTGACTCCAGGATACCACTCTTTCCAGGTTTTCCTCCTACATCACTGGCAGTTGCATCCTTTGCTAGATGCTCCTCATCTCTACAATTTAGGGTCAGTCCTTTACTATATGTCCTCATTCCCAAGGTGATGTCACACAGAATGTTTTGGTAGTCTATTCCTGTGTAATCAGTTACCCCTGACTTCATGGCTGAGAAACACCACCATTTCTTATTCTACCATTCCGTAGGTTGGAAGTCTAGGCATGATGTAGCTGGGTTCCCTGCTCAGGGTCTCATAGGCTGAAATCAAAGTGTTGGTTGGGGCTGGGTTCCCACCTGGAGCTCAGGCCCTTATAGGAGCTCACCAGTGGTTCCCAGAATTCAGTGCCTTGCAGTTTTATGACTGAAGGCCTTATTTCATTGCGCTCTGACAGCTGGAGAGGGCTCTCAGCAACTTTGCAATACAGTCTCCTAAACAGTCCCTCTCAAAACACAGCAGCTCACTTCATCAATCATGGCAGAAGAATCTCACACACCTTGAAGCTAAGACTTCAGGACTACCCTGGGAGAATCTCCCTTTCAATTAACGTAAAGTCAACTGATTAGGGGCCATAATTACATTTGCAACATTCTTTCAGCTTTGTCAAATAATGTAATCTAGTCATGGGAATGAAGTCCGTCATATACCCAGTCCCATCACACAAAAAGGGAGGAATTATATACAGGATGTGTATAGCTGGGGTGAGAATCTCGAGGCCACATCAGAATTTGGTCTTCTTAATATTTGTCCTACTCCAGGTTTCTTATTCTCATTTCCTGCTTTCTTGTGGATTAAGTATTACTATTATATTTTTATGGTTTCTCCTTTAATTTTACATTCTTTTACTATGTTTGCAGTGATTACAGATTACAATATGTATTCTTGGCTTATTATAACAGGATCTAATTAGTAACTTTACCACTTTCCAGACCATGCAAGAACCACCATTTAATTCAAGTTACTTTCCCCTTGACTCATGTGCCAGTGTTGTAATGAGTTGTTCTCTATAATTTTTTGTTTTGAGACAGGGTCTCCCTCTGTCACCACAGCTGGAGTGCAGTAGCAGTGTTGCAATCACAGCTCACTACAGCCTCAACCTCCCAGGCTCCAGCAATCCTCCCACCTCAGCCTCCCGATTATGTAGAACTACAGGTGCATGCCACCAGGCCTGGCTGATTTTTGTATTTTTTGTAGAGATGGGGTTTCGCCATGTTTCCCAGGCTGGTCTTGAACTCCTAGACTGGAGCAATCCACCCACCTGAGTCTCCCAAACTGCTGGGTTTACAGATGTGGGCCACCACAGCCTGTTCTCTATGGTTTTAAAATCCAAGATGTTTTTGCTGTTTTTATAATCATCATTATCATTATTTTATTCACTCAGTATCCTCTGATTTAACTCTCGTATTTATCTTTCTGTGGCTTTTTTTCCGTTTCTATACCTCCAAAGTTACATATGAGATAGTTTTCTTCTACTCAAAGAAACTCTTTTTGGTATTTCCTTAATGTGAATCTGGTGTTGATGAATTCCCTCAACTTTGTCTAAAAGTATTACTAGGTCTGGGTGCAGTAGCTCATGCCTGCAATCCCAGCACTTTGGGAGGCCAAGGAGGGGGGACTGGTTAAGATCAGAAATTCAAGACCACCCTGGGCAACATAGTGGGATACTGTCTTTACAAAAAATTTAAACATTAGCCAGGCATGGTGGCACACGCATATAGTCCTAGCTACTCAGGAGACCAAGGTGGGAGAATCAAGGATTGCTTGAGGCCAGGGGGTTGAGGCTGCAGTGAACCATGATCACACCACTGCACTCTAGCCGGAGCAAGGCCCTGTCCCAAAGTAAATTAAATAAAGTATCACTGTGTTACCGGATATAAAATTTTAGATTGCCAGATATTTTCTTTAAGCACTTTTAAGCTTACATCCCATGTCTCCCATTGTTTCTGAGTTGAAATCAACTGCAAATCTTACTCTTGCCCCTTTAAAGGTACTATATCTTTTTGCTTTTCGAGTTTCATTTTGTGTTTACTTTTCAGCAGTTTTCCTCTGATGTGCATACCTGTGATCTGATTTGTCTTATTTAGGGGTCATAGTTTTTCTTGAATCAGTAGCTTAATATAGTTAGTCAATTTTGGAGAACTTTCAAGCAATTGTATTAAATACTTCCTTTACTCCACGCACCTGTGAGTTCTCTTTGTCTCCCTCCATCCATCTTTCCTCTCTCCTTGGCTGCTTCCTCTCTCCCACCCTTGTCCTTTCATTTTGGGACTCCAATTACATGCATGTAGGATAGACCATCTATAATATCATTTACCATCTTTTTTGTTCTTTTCTATATTTCCCAATCTTTTTTGGGGGGAAGGAGGGTGGAGACAGGAGGCTGAAGCAGGGGGATGGTTTGAGGCCAGGACATCGAGGCTGCAGTGAGCCATGATTTCACCGCTGTACTCCAGCCTGCCCAATAGAGTAAGACTCTGAGTCTCAGGGACTATAGGCATGCACCACCACATCTGGCTTTTCAATTTTTTTGTAGGGATGAAATCTCACTATGTTGTCCAGGCTGGTATCAAACTCCTGAGTTCAAGGTATCCTCCCAAAGTGCTGGGATGACAGGTGTGTGACACCAAGCCCAGCCTGTTTCCCAATCTTTTGACTGTCAGTGTTTTAGTCTGAATAGTCTTCTGATCTGATTTCCAGTTCACCAATTCTCTTTTCAGCTAGTTCTAAGCTGATATTAAATCTATCCATTGTTTCTAAGTTATTTATTTTTTAGTTTTAGAATGTCTATATGATCATTTTTTATAGTTTCCAGTTCTCTACTAAATTGTTGCATCTTTTAATTCTTAGAACATAATAATCATACATATATATATTTTTTTTTCTTTTTTTTTTAAGAGATAGGGTCTTGCTCTGCCACCCAGACTGGAGTGCAGTGACACAATCATATCTCACTGCAGCTTTGAATTCCTGGGCTCAAGCTCTCCTCCATACTTGCTATACTCAGCTCTCCACTTGCCATACCCAGCTAATTAAAAAACTTTTTTTTTTTTGTAGAGACAAGGCCTCTTTATGTTGCCCAGGCAGGTCTCGAACTCCTGGGCCCAAGTGATCTTCTTGCCTTGGCTTCCCAAAGTGTTGAGATTATAGAAACACTGTACCCCACCAGATAATCATAAATATTTTTAATTAAACTCCATTATCTGTGTGTCTAATATCTATGTGCCTTTTTCAGTACTATGTATATGCTCTTGATCTTTAGTCAAGTCCTATCATCTTCTGTGCCCATGTTTGATAATAAGTAAGTAGGCTGATCTTTGTCCTTCATTCCTGGAAGACAGTACACCCTTGGAATTTTCCAAGTGAATAGAAGTGGCTTTGTTATTCATGAGCCCATTACATCACACCTCAGTTTATGCTAATGATGTGGTTCATGGTGGGCCCCTAAATAGCTTCAAGATGGGAGCTGGCCATGCTGGAAAGATAAACCACACGATTAAAGGGGTAGAGGTTTGATCCAGCACAACATCTAGGGATAGGAAGGATGCTAGAGATTGAATTCCATCATGTAGCCTATGATCGAATGCATCATTCTTACATAATAAAACTGCACTCAAACATTCTGGGCACTGAAGCTCAAGGAAGCATCCTGGATAGTGAACACATTTATGTGCTAAGAGGGTAAAATATCCTAATTCCACAGGGAACGAGAAGCTCTGCATTCAGGACCCTCCCAGACCTCATCCTATGGATCTCTTCATTTAGCTGGTCTGATGTGTAGCCTTTATAATAAAACTGCAAGCATAAGTATAACATCTGTGTTCTGTGAGTCATTCTAGTGAGTTATTGAATCTAAAGGGATTATGGGAACCTCTAAATGTATAGCCAGTTGGTCAGAACCGCAAGTGGTCTGGGGATCCCATTTGTGATTGGTATCTGAGATAGAGGCAGTTTTGGAGAAAACTGAGCCCATAACTTGTGCAGTCTGTGCTAACTCCAGGTGGTTAGTGTCAGAAATATACCGCAGTATGCTAGTTGGTGCTGAAACAAAATAGCCTGTTTAATTTTGATTATCAGACATTGTATATATAAAATTATATAGGCAATTTGAGTTTTATATGTAATTTTCTCCCTAAAGGTTTACTTTTGCTTCTTGCAGAATTGACAGACGAGGGCCATAGTAATCTCATATTGTCTTATGGCAAATCCCAAATGGCAATTAATATTATTTGATGCTGGGTCTCAATACTTGTAAGGTCTGGTCTATTTCTGGATCACAATTATTTTAGGGATACAGTTCTTTGAGGTCCCACCAAACACGCCTCTTCTTTAGGGAGATTTGTACAATTTTTGATCCATTTCCATCCTATGATTCTTCTAACAGTTGTGCTTCACTTCTAAGCCCTTCAGACATTGCAACTGCCTAGAGAGAAGAGGCTGCTCCAAACACTAAATTCATTTCCCTGATCTCCTTCCTTTTTGGGACTATGACCCAATACTACATCTTCACTGCTTTGTTCACTCTCTACTTTCGGGGGAAAGGAGAGTGTCTACCTTTATTAGTTTTTCTCAGTGGGAGTGGGGAGGTTGGTGTGAAATAATGTCAACAATTATTATAAATAATGTCTACTATTATTATGAATATAACATTTAAAAATTATCTTTAAAATATAACTATTTCCAACTTTGAGTCTCCCTCCCATCAGGATAGTGAGGAAATCAAGCCCTAATCATTCTTGGTAAAGCAGTACCTTAATATCAGATATTGGGCAGGACCAATTTGCTTGCTAGATCTCCTATATTCAGGGTCTCTCTTTACATGCCCCCTTCCAGTCTGAGGGCCACTGCTTTTTATCCACCTGGGAGACACAGGACATTGTGCTAAAGTAAAAATCTCCACAGTCATTCCCTTCTGACCTCTTGCCACCTCCTTAGAGGCCAGGATGGAATGCGGAGGAGAAGGCTGTCGGGAGCTGAGTGCTTGGTATCCCGAAAGGGGACCCCAGAAATCTTTGCTCTTTGTCCAGTCTCTATGAATGCCTTAAAAAATTGAGATCACTCTGGTCATGTGCAGTTGTAACAAATAATAAAAATCCCTTGAACATTTTGTCTAGTTTCCTCTATAGTAAGAGTTTGACAACTACAGTTTTTCAACAAAGATTTTGATTTTGATACAATCTCCCAAACTTACTAGATTTTTCCAATTTTACTTGTATTCATTTGTGTGTGTGTGTGTGTGTGTGTGTAAGTTCTAAACCATTTTATCATTTGTGTAAGATCCTGGTGTAAGACACAAGAAATCTTTCTGAGTTTCTCTTCAAAGGGTTTAGCCTGTTAACTTCTTTATCCTTTGTTCTCAAACTCAACTTTTTTGTTCTTCCTTGCCCCTAGTTACCGTAAACACCCTACCCCCTTCCCATCAGCTCTAATCAATAACTCACATTTGTTCACTTGGTTACCTATACCCATTGTTCCCCCGAAACTGCACGTCTCACACACTCCACTTCTGTACCTCCCCTCCCCTCCCCCACTATATTTAGGAAAATATGTACAAGTAGCCAATGGAGTCAGCTCAGATTGTGCGGTCCAACCCTAGCCCATGGGGGAGTGACACAGAGATAGGGGCTGCGTTAAGGATAAAAACCCCCTGGTCTCCTTTGTTCTGTGTGCACTTGCGAACTTGATTGATGTGAGTGACACCCTTCTGCAGAAGTAGATTGCCTTGCTGAGAGCATTAAACTTTTTCCTGAGTACTGGTTTTACTTCATGGCACTCAGCATTTATTCCTGGAGTATTTTATATCCAACACTGGGTTCACCATCACAGGCAAGATCCTACGCCACAAAGTTCCTTCAAGTTGCCCTTTTATATCCACATCCACCTCCCTCTCATTTCCCTCCCCTGTTTCCCTAACATCTGATGGCCTATAATCTGTCCTCCATTCCTAAAATTTTATCATTTAAAAATGTTATGAAAATGGAATCACACAGTATGCAACCTTTGGGGATTGATATTTTCCATTCAGCATAATTGCCTGGAGATTCATTGAGGTTGCTGTGTGTTCAATTTTTATTTTTTATGTTTTTTTTGAGACAGAGACTCACTCTGTTGCCCAGGCCGGAGTGAAGTGGCATGATCTCAGCTCACTGCAACCTCCAACTCCTGAGTTCAAGTGATTCTACTGCCTCAGGCTCCTGTGTAACTGGGATTACAGGCATGTGCCACCATGCCCAGCTAATTTTTTGCATTTTTAATAGAGACAGGGTTTTACCATGTTGGTTGGGCTGGTCTTGAACTCCTGACCTCAAGTGATTCACCGACTTTGGCCTCCCAAAATGCTGGGATTACAGGTGTGAACCACCATGTACAGCCAGGTGGTTGTGCGTTTCAATAGACCATTCCATTTCACTGCTGAGTAGTATCCCACGCTATGGACATACCACAGCTGATTCCATGTTTCGATTATTACAAATAAAGTTGCTCTACACCAAGTATTTGTGTACAAGTTTTTGTGTGAACACAGTTTTCATTCTTTAGAATAAATGCCCAGGAGTACTATTGCTAAGCCACATGGTCATGCAGGTTCAGTTTTTTAAGAAACTGCCAAAATGTTTTCCAGAGTGGCTGTACCATTTTACAAGCAATATATGACAGTTTCTCTGCATTCTCACCAGCACGTGGCTGTCAATATTTTTGTTTGAGTCATTCTGATAAGCATACAGTGTTATCTCATTGTGGTCTTAATTTGCATTTCTATAATGGGTCATAATGCTGAACATATTTCTATGTGCTTATTTACAATCTGTATGTCATCTTTGACAAATAGCTGTCATGGTTTTTGCCTATTTTCTAATTGAATTGTTTGTATTTTACTGTTGATTCTTTATGTATTTTAGATACTAGTCCTTTATCAGATATGGTTTGCAAATCTTTTCTCTCAGTCTGTAGCTTGTCTTTTTACCCTCTCCACGTGGATTTTTACAGAGCAAAACACACTTTCTCCTGTTGATGAGATTCAATTGTAAAATAAAAATAAGATACCAAGCCCCCCAACTGACTGAGCAGTTCCTCTCTTGGCTGAGAGGACCCCAGAGAAACCTGAAAAACTGAGTTCTGGCCATGATGAGACAAGAGGTTAGACACATTTCATTATCTCCCTTCCTTTTGGAGTCTAGACACAATGACTGGCCGGCATTCATGTTAAAATAGATCTCAGAAGACTGACAGAACAGACTCTTCATGACAACAAGATACCAAATTATAGACCAGGTGCAGTGGCTCATGCCTGTAATCCCAGCACTTTGGGAGGCCGAGGCGGGTGGATCACGAGGTCAGGAGATTGAGGCCATCCTGGCTAACATGGTGAAACCCTGTCTCTACTAAAAATACAAAAAATTAGCCAGATGTGGTGGTGGGTGCCTGTAGTCCCAGCTACTCGGGAGGCTGAGGCAGGAGAATGGCGTGAACCTGGGAGGCGGAGCTTACAGTGAGCCGAGATGGCGCCACTGCACTCCAGCCTGGGTGACAGAGCAAGACTCTGTCTCAAAAAAAAAAAAAAAGATACCAAATTATAAACAGGGTGTAAGGCCAGGCCATACAAGTGTTAAGTCCCCTACCCCTACAGGTCACTCAGACCCAGGGTACTGGTTAACAGACTTCCTTAAACATTACTTTCTGCTGACTCCAAATTTTTAGGCAAAGCATTGCTCCTTTAACAAGTTGCAGATTAAATAATCTTTGAACCCACTTATGACCTGTAAGCTGCCACTTTAAGATATCCCACCTTTTTAGGCAAGGCTGATGTATATCACCTCCATGTATTCACTTATGACTTGGCCTGTAACTTCTACTTCCCTAGACTGTATAAAACATAGTCGTGACATAACGGCCTCGGGACCATTTACTCAAGGCTTCTTGAGTTTGTGTTTTTCCCTGGGCTTCAGTCACTCATATCGGCTTAGAATTAACCTCTGTAAAATATTTCATAGATTTTTGTCTTCTCTGTTAACACAATTTATCATTTTTTCTTTTCTTTCTTTTTTTTTTTTGAAACAGTCTCGCTCTGTCAGGCAGGCCAGAGTGCAGTGGCATGACCTCAGCTCACTGCAATCTCCACCTCCTGCGTTCAAGCGATTCTCCTGTCTCAGCCACCCAAGCAGCTGGCTAATTTGTGTATTTTTTAATGGAGACAGGGTTTTGCCATGTTGGCCAGGCTGGTCTTGAACTCCTGACCTCAAGTGATCCACCTGTCTCAGTCTCTCAAAGTGATGGGATTACAGGTGTGAGCCACTGCGTCCAGCCTAATTTTTTCTTTTATAGACATACTTTTGGTGTCAAGTTTAAGAACTCTATGATCCCAAAGATTTTTTTCTGATTTTTTTTCCCTTAAAACTTTTATGTTTGTTTTCCTAAAAGTATGTGCTTCATATTTAAGTCTGTGATCTATTTGGAATTAGATTTGATATAAAATGTGAAGTTTAGGCCCAGGTTCTCTTTTGTGTATGTTTGGAAGTCCAGTTGATCCATGTGAATGTCTTTTAAGTCTGGGGAAAACGTCTCCTTTTTCTGTCTGAAGAATCCCTCTTTCCTTTCTGTTCAAGACATTAAGCATAACAAATGCCTTAGATTTAGTCTTTGGGGACTGAGAGTCAGGAAGAGAGATGCCTTGCAGAAAACTTGAGCTTTCTGCCAAGTCTCAAACCTCCCCTCAGGCAAAGAAACACAGGGACTGCTGGCTGCTTAAATGGGAAGAAATAAGAGAAAATAGTGGGAGAAAACATAATTTAACATCACAAAAATTGTGCATGTTGGCAAGTATGCAAATTCTCTATGGAAGAATCTGTAGCATATATTAGATTCTCAAAGATATCCACAACCCCAAAAATGCTTTTGTTTTAAATCACTGTTATCAACGTTCAGATTCCTATTCTATTGGTCCAGAGACTCTTCCCGTATGTAGAGTTACTCACTTGAAATCAAGGTATTCTCAATATAGATGACTTAGCCAAGCATACTGGAGTCATTCATAGTCCTCAAAATGT